>NC_000010.11:616060-767575 GCF_000001405.40 Homo sapiens
GATCTCCTCCTTGAGTGTAATGACTCCAGGCACTTCTCTTCACCCAGGTCATCCCTCAGTCACACACACTTGAGAAACAAAAGCAATTCTGTTCTCTTCACTCTGGGTTCCAAGTACTAAATTCCTCGATTTTATCAATTAGATTATCAAGCAGCCGTTTGTAATCTGGACCGCAATCCGATACAAAATTTAAAGCTAATTTAGGTGGCAGTAATAGCTCCTATTTACGTTACAGACAAGCATGAATGAAAACTTTAATCTGTGTTTATTGTCCATAGGACCCATTTTGTAAACAAACCAATTATTCAAGCAAGGATTGTCTTCAGTCAGACGCAAATTAATTTGCTTTGTTCATAAAAGATTTTCTTATTTTAGGAATTTTTAAATCCATGGTCTGCATTTCCCAAGCCTGTCTCTGCACAGCGGGACTTCCCAGGGCATCCCATCAGCGGGCCCACTGAACAGAATAAGCAGGCAGCCCCCAGACCAGGAATCAAGTCTGAGCCCCAACAGCCCCTCGCCCAGCCAGGGCTTCCTCACCAGCACAGCACCCAGAGGTCTGCCAGGTTTAATGCCACGTGTGCGTGGAGAGCAGAGTGCGGGAAGGACCACAGTGGACATTCTACAAATGCAAATTCCCTCCTGGAATAGCCCAGCAACCCTGTGTACCTTCCTCAAAGTACCCAGGCCAGGCAAGCATAGAGAGTCTAATGGGGTGCCTAGGAATCAGCATTTAACACAATTCTGATGAAAATATTTGAGAGCCACGCCCATCAGCGAGAGGCCGCCGTGGCCTCTACTCATTTGCAGGCTCTGAAAAGACAGATTCAGATAACAGGCCAGACAGGACAAGGATGGGGAGGTGGAGGGCAAATTCCATGGACCACCAACCACCCCCCATCCCCACTGAGACTCCGTGATTTAAGGAAAGAAAGCCAGGGAGGGACTGAGATTTCACATAAAATGCGTAGCACATGGCTAAGGGCCAAGGTTAGGCAAGCCAGGAGCACACAACGGGGTTCACAGGCCCAGAGGTGCCCCCACACCCAGACCCCATGCAGACCTCCCAGGCACTGCCTCTGTGCCTCCCGCCTGACTTATTTCCTGCCCCCCGCCCCTACTGTGTTGGTATCTCAGCCGCCCCCTGAAATACACGACCTCCGCCCCCCACTACCGCACATGCCTCTCTACAAACTTGGGGGACTGCAAATAGCAGCGGGGTAAGAGCTGGGCTCTAGGGCCAACGTCCTGGCTGAGACACTAGTTCCACCCCACTCAGCTGTGATGTGAGCCCCTGAGATTTCTCAAATGTGAGATGGGAATGGTAACTGAACCCACTTCCCAGGGTGGCTGTGGAGACTGAGACCACACATGGCCATATCACGGCATCCAGCACACGTGGGACCCTAGCCGTGTTGCCCTTGATGGGAATCCTTCTATGCACCCTCTGCCACCAGGGCCAACTCCCAACAGTAGCTGTGGAGGGTGTGTCCTCTATTCCCACTCCACCCACCTCCCATTGCTCCACGCAGTGACCTGCCACGTAGCGGCCACCAGCAAACCCAGCCCCACTGTCCAGGCTCCTGTGGATACCACCCCCCCACCCCCACCCCTGCTTGGGGCGTCTTCCACTTGCGGTTCCGAAGGAGGCTGAGAAACCACCCTCAAGGGCGCTCACCTGCTCCTTGTTGCACGTAATGACCTGCCACACAGGGCAACCAGCAAACCCAGCTCCACCATCCAGGCTCTGGTGGGTAACCGCCCCCCCAGCCCCAGGTGTCTGGGAGGCTCAAAAACTGCCCTCCAAGGGCACTCATCTGTTCCTTATTGCACTAATACCTCGTTTACAGAAATCCACTTTGACTTCCCTGCACTGCAGGTGTGACAATTTAGGAATCCTGCTTGCTTGTGAGCTCCAAGAGCTTGAGGTCACGTCCACCTCACCAGCATCCCAGGACCCAGTACTGTCCCACTCTGTGATTGTGTGTTTAAAATTCCAAAATACTCTTTCAGAATGCTATTGGCATTTGGTCTGCACATAAAATGCTAAAAACCCTCAAGTGAAACAAGTATCTTCAACAGTTTGATTCAATCATGTGAGTTACACATCTGCCAAGTTGTAAAGCCTCATGCATTTTTCTGATAATATTTTCTTATGTATGGTCAAATGGTTCATTAATATAAATTACAAGAATCTCTAAGAAACAGGTTTTTTTCTGGCATTAGATGACCAAAGGAAAACTGGGTTCTGGCTGGCTTGCAGGCCTGGAGAGGCAGACATATCTGCTGAAACACAACCAAGCTCCTTCCCACTGACATGGCCTCGTCCCAGGCCCCTGAGCCGGACGCCCGCAGGCCCCTGGAGGAGCAAGCTGACCTGCCCACATTTCTCAAATGCACAGCTGTCGCTCGCACTGCAGACAGAGCTCAAGGCACGAGCAGGCGCCCACCATGCTAAAAATACCACACAGCGTCCACGCCAGGTGACGGTGGCTTTCACTCCATCCCAAAGCTCCATGTATGAATTTAGTCATGACTACTAAATAATGATTTTTAGACTCTCATGACAGACTTTGTTTGCTTTTATGCAACAAAGTTAAAAGACTATCACTCAGCTACAGCCTCTGAAACCGTGGAATAATTATTTGGGAACAGAGCCTCTGCCAGATCAGGATAAGTGCTTGGGACAATACCCCGTGACCTCGGTCCACACAGACACGTGCAGACCAGAGCCCTCCCGCACTGCTCAGCCACACGGCCACGTTCAGGCTGAAGCCGCACGATCGCCAGAAACACTGTCCCTCGCCAAGGTATGCCTGGCTTCTCCCTTTTTCCAGAACTTAACAAAACCTGAAAGGACAGGTCTGTGTAGAAAAACATCAAAAATACTTCCAATTCTTCTTTCCAGCTGAGGCTGCAGGAAGCTCATTTCAGCCCTCACTGTGTTCTGACTGTGGCCTGCTTCCCATAAGAAATAAAATCAGAATTCTAGTCGCTGTCTCCTGAGCTGTGTGGCAGGCGGACATACCTTCAGTTATGTGAGGAAAGGCACGGTGAGCCCCCTTCCTTCAGTAAAACTGCAGTTCCCAGAACACTGATGCCGTCCCCCTAACGCCACTGTGAACACCTGGACAAGTCACATTTCAATACGTGCACCTTCGTGGGCTAGTTTTACTACTTCTCTATTAAATCACCCCAAACTTAGTGCCCCAAACAACACGAACTTATTTTCTCACATTTCTGGAAACTGGAATCCAAAACAGGTCCCACCAGCTAACGTCGAGATGTCAGCAGGGCTGGCTCCGGGGAAGCGACCGTCTCCTTGCCTCCCTCAGCCTCTAGAGGCTTCCGCATCCCCTGGTCCTTATGGCACCCACCATCTTCAGAGCCCACGGCAGCCCTGGCGGCTCCTCAACAGGAAGACGCAGAATATCGGGAGCACAGGCTTTATGCCAGGGCCAGGACCAAGCCCGCCCGCCCGCCCTCCCACCCAGCTCCTCACGCACTCCCGTGCGAGCTAATATAGATTCCACTTTAACTAGTGTCACCTGTGCAAGGGGTAAGTGCCCAGCTGTGAACCTGGTTACCCTCACCCACACAGACCCCAGGAATAAACTCATGGGCCATGGACCACTCCACAAGCAATGAGTGACCACCTGGTCGGGGACCTCCATGGCCCAGCAGAGCCCTCTGGTGCCTCCCCATGGGCCCAGGGACCGGCAGGCTGGGCTCTGCAGCGCCAGAGAGTCCTGGATAAAAATGGCAGCTCCCGTGTTGGGAGGCACCCGCCCGTGGATGGGTTCCCTGTACTTTAAGTAGACCAGGTGGACAAGCTACACCACTCACGGCTCCATCACTAGAATAACAGCTGCACGTGGCAAGTGCACGGGGTGGCCACCCCTTCAGCCCAGCTGGCTGCACTAAGCACATCACCGGCAAGACACCCAATCAGATGCAGCTGCTGGCACAGCCCAGGTGTCGGCCCCCAAGAACATTCTGGATCACAATTCACAGTAGTGATTGCGATCAGGGTCACATGTGGCTGAATGTATTTACGGAGGACGCCACAGCCGATCTGGCTGGACGGAGAGCATTTCCCCTTGTATAGTCTTACAAGGCCATTTTATTTGTGCTTTATTCAATTTTTATGGCTTTTTTCTGCCTATCTATTTTATGGGAGTGTTTCTTGTTCTTACAACTGCAGTGATACTTCAAGCTACAACTATCAATGTGTAAAATTAGTTTGGAAGGCGCCTTATCATTAAACGTTTCACAAGCAAGCAGTCAGAGGCACCTAAACCACAGGCCTGTTTTCTTCTCTGAGCCAAACCTACATTGGACTCAAAGAAAACGGCACACGGAGAGGGGCTGGATCTCCAGCACCCATTCCTAGGGGGCCTCCTGAGGGGCAGATACGGAGGGAGAAGCCCTGGGCTATGGCACCGTCGTACTAAAGAAAAGTCCATTTGGGTAAATTTAAGCACCAGACAAGAAATTAAGCAAACCATGAAAAGAAACCACTAACCACAGCTTCTCCAAAACAGAACTAAACTACCTTTAGTTTGAATTGGAAAAGCAGAAGTGATGATCAGGATACAAAAAAATGACAAAGTATCTGAACACGGGAGAATAAACAAGGGCCACTGTCTCCTCCTGTGTCAGTGGGAGCCTCGCATCTAAGCTGGATTTAGAAGGTTGCTACTTTGGACTGAAAGTTATCCCCAACCCTGCTTTGTAAGCAAGTGGAGCAGAACGCTTCAATTATTTCAACGTTTAGTGGTAAAGCTCTGCAACTCTCAAAACCATTTTAATTGGTGTGAATTTTATAGTAACTAAATCTGTCGGCTGGAGTATCTAACGGCTTAACCACGGGGTCATGTGGGAAGATTATTCCAGTTGTTTTTGTTTTTCCCACTGAAGATGCATTTGAACGTTCTTGTAGTTTTCAGTTGGCTGGTTCTGACGTTTGGTCCTGAGGAGGCCCAAGTACCTGGAGAGGAAGAATCTGAAACCTCAAGACACTTGAGTGCAGTCTTCAGAGAGGGAGACCCCGACCCAAGGGGCCACTGACGGACTCAACACAGGCACAGGGCCGCCCGACGCAACGGGCCACGTATTCGCCACTTACCAAACAACATAAGCACACACCCCCAGGTGTGCACACACCTTCTGTACATGCTCATCTGTGCCAATATGAGCACACACCCCCAGGTGTGCACACGCTCTGTACACATCTGTCCCTGCCAACACCCACACACACCCCCAAGGTGTGCACACATGCTCTGTACATGCTCACGAGTCTGTGCCAATATGAGCACACACCACCCCCGGGGTGCACACACTATGTGCTCACGAGTCTGCCAATATGAGCACACAACCCCAGGTGTGCACACACGCTCTGTATGCGCTCACGAGTCTATGCCAATATGAGCACACACCCCCCAGGGGTGCACACACACTCTGCACATACATCTGTCCCTGCAGCCTGAGTCAAACAGTCACAGAGAGGAAGAGGAGGAGGAGGAAGGATGCGATGGGCACTGAGGTCTTGGGCCGGCTCCCCTCCCTATCTCGGGGGAGACCCCTCGTGTGATCCTGCCATCACTCACCCTTCCGCCTCCATCCTCCATCCTCCCACGTGGATCAGGAGGACGCCCACTGCACAGAGCTGTGATGAGCATGAACAAAAGACGGCAGGAGCTCATGCCAAGGTGCTGAGCACGGGGCCTACGGAGTGCTTCTTTCTGCTGCGGCTGACATCATCAAACAAGAGGTTGACATGGCTTCCGGAGAGGATGTCATTCGCTGATAAACTGAAACATGTGACCTAGAATCTACTGTGAAGGTCTAAGAACAAACCAACAAACCAAATGGTTTTGTTTGTTTTTCAAACACCATAGCCTGTTTTTTCTTTTTTTTAATGCTCTACCGTGTGTCTTAGTTTAATTTCAAAGTAAGTCCAATAAATACACAAAATCACAGGACTGAGCATTGAGCATTGTTTCCCTTTGTGTCCTCCAGCCTTTAGGACACATTAAGGAAAGACATGATTCCAGGATTCCCATTAGAAAGGCTGCCCTGAGGCACCTGCTGGGGCTGCCAAGTCGCAGCTGTTGATGCTGCCCCCAAGCTGCTTGGATGAAGCGGAAGATTCCAGAAGTCTCTTCTCCTCCACCCCTCGCCCAGGAGAGATGGTAGGGGGAGGGAGGAGGGGGAGGGAGGAGGGGGAGGGAGGGAGGAGGGGGGAGAGGGAAGGGAGGGAGGGGGAGGGGGAGGGGGAAAGGAGGAAGGGGGAGGGAGGGAGGGGGAGAGAAGAAGGGGGAGGGAGGGAGGAGGGGGAGGGAGGGAGGGAAGAGAGGCATGTTCCATCCACCAAAGCAGCTGCATTGCAGTGAGAATGGAAGGCGTGTTGCCTCTCAGAACAGCGAGTTCAAGCTGTTTATAACTGTTAGCATAAACAGTGACCAGCTGAGGACAGGGCTGTAATTGGAGTTGACAACATTTTATTTTCATAGTTGATATCAGGGACCTGGACCTAAAGCACCATGCCTTGCCCTTTCGCCGATGGGCCAATGCCTCTCTATGCTTGAGTCCATTTGACTAAATACCCGATATTGACTTGGAATTATGACGTGTAGGATACCCCTTACCACAGTAACGTCAAACTCACGTTCTTCACGTTCTAAATGTAACTTGCTCAGGGACTGGCTTCTAACTCCAGGTGGGAATGTTAAGCTCAGTCCAGTTCAATTCAATAAGCATTTATCAAGAAACTACTAGATCAAGAGCTGTGTTAGACACTGGGTATGGGGTGATGGGGATACAAAGATGTGGAATTAGAGCTCGAGAAGCTCAAATGCTCTCATTTAATTCCCTAATGCAATTACCCAGCTTCAGCCTGATGGCTGTAATGTCTAAATTCACTTTTTCTTTATTCCAATTCTACAGCGCAAAGCATAAATCATCACAGAGGAATGATTCTGTGTTGGAATATTCAGTGCACAGAGAGGTGCATTCTGACAGGCGTGAGACATTGTCACCCTTCCCAGGGAGCCAGTGAGGTGGCTGCACGGAGCACGCGTGTGAAGATTCAGGAGCACGAGCATCAGGTGACAGGAGGGGGCACGGAGGCAGCACCAGATGGATGTGTGCCGAGGGGATGCTGCAGCCGGGCTGGCGAGGGAGGTCACAGGAACGGGCGCAGGCATCTCCCTCCAGCCGCACTTGACAGGAGGGGGCACAGAGGCAGCACCAGACGGATGCCTGCCAAGGGGACGCTGCAGCCGTGCTGGCGAGGGAGGTCACGGGAATGGGCACAGGCGTCTCCCTCCAGCCGCACTTAGGTTTTCATGAGGACGGGTGCAGAGAAGGGGATGAAACCGAAATGCTGTGGGGCTGAGGGGAGGAGGGGAGGGATGCAGGGCTGAGGGCTGAGGGGAGGAGGGGAGGGATGGACACAAGGCCAAGGGGAAGAGGGGAGGGATGCAGGGCTGAGGGGAGGAGGGGAGGGATGCAGGGCTGAGGGGAGGAGGGGAGGGACGCAGGGCCGAGGGCTGAGGGGAGGAGGGGAAGGAAGGACGCAGGGGCGAGGGGAAGAGGGGAGGGATGCAAGGCTGAAGGGAGGAGGGGAGGGACGCAGGGCCGAGGGCTGAGGGGAGGAGGGGAGGAGGGGAGGGACGGACGCAGGGCCAAGGGGAAGAGGGGAGGGATGCAGGGCTGAGGGGAGCAGGGGAGGGATGTAGGGCCGAGGGCTGGCCACTGCCCCTTGCATCCATGCCCCTATGAATGCTGCCAAAATCAGCCCCAACAGTGAGAAGTGAGGTGGATGAAAGAGGCGGACAGACTTGGCTTCCACAGCCTTCACAGATTATACAGTCATTAAAAATTCCTTCTGAGTTTTCATCTGGAAAACTTTGCAAATATATTTAGAGACAAGAGGTCAAAGATGAAGCCAACACAGTTGGGCTCGAACCGCCACCCTGCTCCTTCTCTCTGCACCCGGGACCCGCCCTGAGCCCCTGAGTGCGAGGACTCGGGAACTGCCCAGCCCAAGGGCGCAGCCCCTGACCAGAGAAGGGAGCCGCACGGCGAGGCCCCCAGCACATGGATGGAGGGATCTGTTATCTCGGTCCCAGGGTCCCAAGCGGGGAAGGCCTGGGGCTCCCAGCTGAAGCTTTGCTGTCACCTCTGTCACCAAAGTTGAGAAGGACTGAGTGGGACCAAAGCCGGACCTGCCAGCTCCTCGGTGGCTGCAGATGGGGCCCTCACGCTGCAGGTGGGACCGTCTAGGGGAGCCCACAGACAGCATCAAAAATCACAGCCACAAGTGCTCCAGGGGCCCCAAAACACAAGCACAGCCTGAGGAAGGCAGCGCCCGCTCAGCTCCACATCCAGGCTTTTGTGCCTCACTCAAGAGGCACACAGCACCAGAACACGGCTCTTTAAGTGCCTTTCTAGGGTGTACGAACACAAAGTGGGGCCTTGAGTGGCTTGGAAGTCACTCCCACCAGCCCACGGGGGCCCGGGCAGCCCCTCTGGATGTGGCTGGAGTCTCTCCAGGGCGGGCTCCAAAGTCCCACGGAGGAGGCGAGCGTCGGTCTTGCTCTGACCTGAGGCAGCCCCCTGACAAGTATGCTGAATATGCAGGCACACAGCTGGCTGACTCATCTGAAAGGGACCTGCTGAGCCACGAGCCAGGGACGCTTGGAGAGAACCTGACTGACACATGAACCCTCCCCAGGAGCTCACCTGGGGCACCCACGAGAAAACTACGGAAGCTGTGAAGACGGAGGTGTGCATGTGGCCGGGAGAACCCGGGGGGGGAGCCGCACTGGGGACAGAGGGGTGGGCCCCACGAGCAAACGAGGGAGGCGCTCGGTGCCCTGAAGGCCCCGCTGCACCCACAGCTGCAGGCCTGGCCGGCGGCGCAACCTTGGCTGCCAGGGCCCAGGAGCATGTGTGTTGGGCAGGAGCTGCCCAGCCCTCCTGGAGCCGCACTATGGGCACCGTCATTTTAGACGCAGGTGCCTGATATTAACGATGACAATCAACCATGCCACCCTGAATTACAGCCGTGTCCTCAGCGGGTCACTGTTTACGCTGACAATTACAAACAGCTTGAACTCACTGTCCCAAGAGGCAACAAGCCCTTCATTATCACGGCCGCAAGCCTCTGCGCAGCCCTCCTCCCCCGCCGCTTCCCGTCAGGGCAACGTGAAGTCCCATGACAGTGACTCAGAGCCAGCACAGTAGCTTCAGTGCAGAAAAAAAATCACAAAAACTCAAATACATCCTAAAAATGGGCAGTTGGTAGGAGCCGATTCCTAAATTAAACACTGTTCGGAGGCTTTCTGGGCTAGCACAGCTCTAATAACAGGCTTACGCTTTCTGCTCCCTGTGAAAGGCCGCGAAGAGGCCGGGCTCTGCCTTTCTGCAGGCTCCCCTACGGGGAGCCTGCCCTGTGGCCTCGGTGGCCTGTGCCAGACAGCGTGACCGTCGCCCACAGGGAACACTCAGCACAGCAGAGCAGGCTCGGGGAAGGACAGAAAGTGACCTCTAGCCTGCAGAAGATGCTAAGCCATGCACGGCCTCACGCACACTGCGCTTCAATCACGGCTGAAGCAGGAACGAGCTCTTAATAGTTCCAGTAAATGCAAAGGCCGCCCTGGAAAACTGCGTGAACCTTTCTGACTACTCACAGGTGGGGAGCCACTGCCTAAGACACAAAGGTAAAGAAGTAACCTGAAACTGCATATTATAAAACTTACTTTTAAATGAGGGCACCTAATTTAAAAGACTCCCAAAGAACACTGCATTAGAAAGTGACAGAGTGAAACCATGAGGCTGACCACAGGAGTCCCTGGAAATTTCACCAAATGTTGTGTCAAAAGAGCGTTTTGCAAGCTGGGACACAGAGAACTGCACCTGATGAAATATTCAATTAATCACTTGAGTCCTCCCCACATACGAAGCTATTTACAAAGTGTTCCCAGAAGGTAAAGTGAGCAGGAGGTCTGTGAACACACAAAGCAAGATCCACTTCGTCCATGGACCACGACAAAAGAAACGCTAACGAGGGCTGACACTAACGAGTGCCGATGACATGCTAGAGTCCAGGCCTCCATGTGCACCTGTGACGGGGACAGTCAGGGTCTCACTGTCCAGATGGGAAACTGGGGCGGAAACACCAGGGAGCCTGTCCCAGGGTGCAGAGCCAGTGAACAGTGGTTCATACTGGGCCAATCCCAGCTGCCAGGCTCTGGGGCTCCTGGGGACAGAATCCTGTTGACTTCACTCTGGGGTGGGAGGGGCGGCAGCATCCCCCAAAGGCACCTGGAGAAGTGGTGTTACCCTCCATCCCCCATCCTCGGTGTTACCCTCCGTCCCCCCGTCCCCGGAGTTACCCTCCGTCCCCCGTCCCCGGGGTTACCCTCCATCCCATCCCTGGTGTTGGTCACCATCCTCCTCACCTCCAGGCCCCTCTCCTTGTCCTCCCTCATTTTCCTGTTCACCGAGAGCATGTCACATGACTCTTCCCTTTTCAAGAGGCTCAGCTGCACCCAGAGGCATTCCGGCCTATTCAGGACGGGGGACACACCCTGGGGAAATGCCTGCATGGGGCCAGAAGGGCCTGAGCCCCTCTCACTGTTGCCCAGGAAGGATGGAACACCCCACGGTCACGCCGATTGTCAGGCCCTCTCACTGTTGCCCAGGAAGGATGGAACACCCCACGGTCACGCCGATCGTCAGGCAGGATGAAAACATCGGTGTCCAAAATGTTTTTTTCACTACAACTGTTTGGACCATTCGTGAACGAATCAGTTAAATACCAAGAAGGGCCATTCCCATTTATTCTTTGGCTACAGTTTTCCACCCACCAGCTACCACGCTCCTAGGAATTACTCCTAACGCAGTATCAGTGCCTTGTGCCTTTTAGGAAAACCTCCTTCCCTCCAGCTTTGTCCTCCTTCCACAAAAGGTGCCTCTGACTGCCTCGCTCGCCGTACCAGGATTTCGCTCGGCTATGGAGGAAAATCCGCGTGGGGCTCAGAGATGGGTGGTCCCCGCACACGCAGTGGCTCTGTAACATCCTCCAAGGAGCCTGGCCCAGGCCTGCCCCACACACCAGGACTCTGCCTTGTGGCCCTCAGGCCCCCGAAGCTGCTTTCCCTCCAGGCGTCATGCCCCGGGCAAGAAGGCCGGACAAGGGCCCAGGGCTGCTGTGGGTCGGGAAACCCTCCCGACACCTCCCTCTCCAAAACCCCCCATCAGCATCCCAGCATCTGGACCTGTGTCACCAGCCGCTCTGCCGTACAAGAGAACTGGATTTTCAGCTGGGTTCGCTGCTTCCCTAAACAAAGTAGGGTTTTGTTACTGAGGAAAAAGGAAAAAGCGGGCATCTTCTTGGCAACCTCGCGACATCCAGCCGCCGGTTCTCACCACACCAGAGATGTCCACCCAGGGCAGACAGTGTCTTCAACCGAGCGCCACTGACCCAGAAGTGCAGTAATTAGTACACTTTCACCAGAGTCACCCACTCCTTCACCTTTACACCCAAGAATAACATGTTTGCCAGGCAAATTAGATGTCCGGGAGGTGTAAGGGAAACCCCAAGCCTGCTTTAAGCCTCAGACTTTTGAGATCGTTGAGGGCCGTGCACGCAAGAGCGAGGCTGCGCCCAAAAGCTCTGCTCCTGCCAGACGTCACAAACAGACCGCACGGCTCAGCCACGTGGACGCTTACAGGACTTCACGAGAGGCACCACCGTGGTACACGTGAAGACGTGCACTTCATTCAGCCTCGAACAGACCACGCCCTCATTACGGGGTTGGTGACCCACCTCCCACCATCAGTCCCCCACCTCACCCAGGGTCTGTGTCTGCATCTGTAACGACTTTGCTGTTTTACCGGGGTACTAAAATGCAGCATCGGAATGTTTAAAGGTCTTTAAATATCAACACTCTGGGTCCAGTTTTCGGCACTTTAATGCGGACACTCGATGCAGGCCTCACTCACCACTCTGAGGTAGCTCATACCTTTCCTACCTAACCAAGCAAGAAACTGAGGCACAGAACGTGGCAGGAAAATATGCAGCTTCTAAGTAGCAGATTAGGATTCAAACCAGTGCTCTTCGTCACATTGCTGACCTACCTCTCAGGCTGAGATAACGTCCAAAATTAACCAGGTAGAACAGTGTTCCATAAATCAGCCAGAAATGGTCCTTGTGGATGGGCCTGTGGTTATTCCCTGAAGAACGAGACCATTGGCCCAAAAATCCACCTGTGTCACATTCAAATGTTTACATATCCAATTACTTAAAAAATACCCCAATCAAGCATGTTTACAGCCATTTACAGCCATATAGATTATCTGCTTTGGTGACAATCAACCCAAGACCTCTGTTGGCAACGGGCATCATGCCAGGTCCAGAGAGGGTGGGACAGAGACACAAACAGGAAACGCTCTGTCCCTGGGAGCCTCGCTCTGATGGGCCTGCGGGGACATGGCACAGACCATGCGGCACAGGCGGAAGGCGGGGACACGGCACAGACCGTGGGGCACAGGCGGACGGAGGGCCAGGAGAAGGGGCTGTGCTGCCAGCAGGCAGTGCTTTGAGCTCTAATGGATGAACATTGCTAACCAGCGAAGGTGGAGAGAGGGCACCCGTCTGAGAAGATGAAGAGGCAGCAAAGCACAGCTGGCCTCGGGGAACCGGAAGCCACAGGGACATCAGGCTGTGTGCTGCTGTCTGTCGGCCACCAGCTGGGGGACTATCCTGGACCTGGAAGGGCATCCCTGACACTCCCCACCAGATGCCAGGGGCACCCCCAGCCCCAGGTGAGAACCACGGATCCCATGGCGAATGAGGTCAGCCTGTGGGAAGTGGGGCTGGGACTGCTCTGCACAGCTTAATAGGAAAGTTGGGTTCTATTTGGTGGGGTTTTGGTCATGCCAATGGCTGGTCAGGGCTGTCCGTGAGGAACTGATTTGAGGACAAGTTAGAGAAGGGGCTGCCGAGGCCAGTGGGGCACTCGCTGTCTGGGTCTAAGAAAAAGAAAATAAAGGCTGGTGATGTGACAGTTGGTGGGAGCACAGACGGAAGGAACTGGCGGTGGAGACACACGGTTGGCCCTGCACAGGGCTACGGTAGCTACCTGGGGGTCATCCTATTAATTCTCCTCATGGTCCCAAGAGGCGGCTGTGAGGATCCCTCTCCTGAGGACAAAACTGCTCCAGAGCCACACAGAACCAAGATCCGGGCCAACTCCAAAGCGGGCGATCTTGACCCCTCACCCGTGGTCCTGAGGCAGGGATCGGAGCCCCCTGGACACACAGACACTCCCAGGAACTGCAGGAATGGGAAGTAGATACCCCAGACCAGCGGCAGGACCCAGGGTTTCTGCCCCTCAGGGCACACTGGGACCAGCCACTGCATAGGTGGACACATGGTGCTTTAACCCACACTGGGGGAAGGAAGCCCTCACTCTCAGAGTGGAGACCACAGCCTCCAGCAGGCCCAGCCTCACTGCTTTAACCCGTACTGGGGGAAGGAAGCTCAAGCTGTCAGGGTGGAGACCGCAGCTTCAATCAGGCCCGGCCTCACTGCTTTAACCCGCGCTGGGGGAAGGAAGCCCTCGCTCTCAGGGTGGAGACCGCAGCCTTGATCAGGCCCAGCCTCACTGCTGGGCACAGCCTGAGGATCGCCATACATGATGCTGAGGTGTCCCAACGTTGGGGTGCCCAGAGCCACTCAGCCGAGAATGTGGTGCTTTCTGTAACTGCCCTCATTTCTTTACAGTATAGATCTGGACTCCATCCTTTGCAATGTGTGGGGTTCTAGGAAGAGGCCAGCCAGCCGTGGAAGTGTCCTGGGCTCTGTCCCGGAGACGACGAACTTGGCTCCCCACGAGGGCGGCCTATTCCCCACAGTGTCCCCCGGGGGCCACACCTGCACCCACCTTGCTGAAGATAATTCGCTTTCTCATCCGTGAAAGAATAAAGTCGGATTAACTCATCTCCACACTCACTTCCAACTCTAACAACCTGTGTTAGGAAATCAAAGGTAAGGACTCTGACCACAAACCCAAGAAGCAAAACCCGAGACTCACGGAACGACGCCACCATTGCAGTTCCCAGCTTGACTAGTTGTTTTTCTTTTCTGGTCTGTTCTGCTCTTTTGGTTTAAATAATTAAAGATCCTTGTTGACAAGTAAAAAAAATTCTTTATGAAGCTAAAAAAAGTGGTTCTAATTAAACATTTAAACATTCTTCCATATACTTTTAAAAACAGTTGTAATTATAGCTCTACTTAATGTTAAGTACTTTAACCAAATGAAAGGTTAATTATACAGACTGGCAATTATAAAAAATAAGGTAACATATTCATGGCATTATGAATAATTAATAAGAACTCTTCGATTTCATTTAGACCAGGGATTCTGTGCTAATATGCTCTCAGCTGTCTTGAAATAATGGTGAAATTTTAAAATTAGTTTTGTACTTAAACATGTCCCCAAAGTGAAGCACAGCGGCCAACGTCCGTCACGGTGCCGAGCAGTGCCAGCCGCTCTACCATGGCCGACGGCCTGATTCCCAAGGGCTGCGTCCCGGGGCCGTGCTAGTGCAGTGAATGTTCAGGAAACAGACCAGGTGGCAGGAGGGAGTCTTGTCCTCAAGGAACCTCATAAGTCTTGCTAGGGGGACAAACAACGAGAGAATGAAACTGGCAGCCATAGAATCCGGGCCTTGATGCCCAGGCCTCGCCATGCATACCTGCTGGCCGGCATCTCCCTGAGACCCGTCTGGCACAGGCAACGGCAGGGCCCGGCCCTTGGAGCACAGGGATGGCAGAGCAGGGTCATCGAAGCAGGTGGCGTGCAGACAGTGGCTTCTCCGCAAGAGCTCCTGGCTCTCAGGGAGCTGAGGGCTCCTCAATGGGGAATTCTGGCTGAGCTCCAGGGGAAAGCGGGTTGGAGGCCTGGCTCCTCCGCCCCCATCTCCTCTGCCCCAACCCTGGAAGGGGGTCAGATATCAATGCTAACATTTGTGCTGACTCAATTAATTCAAACGATTCACAAAAACAAACTTGCTTAAAGTATTAATTTCCTAAAAAGAACTAAAATGAGTTCAAATAATTCACATAATTAAATTATTTTAATTGTTAATTTAATTAAAACATCTCAGTTTTCAAAGCACCACGTGCCTTGGTACTTTCTCCTTATTACATGTCCCATCTTCCAGGGAGGTTTCCTTCCACCCACTGTAGCAGCGGATTCTGGTGTCTCGGGTGTTCCCAGGCTTCCGTCAGCCCCTGGGGGGTTTACAGTTCTGCAGCAGTCTCCATCCTAATTAATCTGCATAAGAACATCCGTCCGCAGGGATGTCCTGTGGCCCTGTGGCCACGTCTGACATGCAGCTAAACACTGGACGTGTCACCTGGCGACAGCGGATGATGAAACTGTGGGCAGGGTAGCACCTCTGGGCGCCAACACTCTTAACATGTTTTTTTTTTACAAGACCATTCTTTAATGGGTGAACCCTGAAAGGAAACGCTAAAGATTGTTTTTAAATATTTTTATATAGAGACAAATCTTTATCAAACATTCACTCAATGCTAAATGTCACTTCTCCAGCCAACCCCTTTAAAAAATACCTAAAACTAAGACTGGAATGACACCTTCAAACACATACTCTAATAATGCATTCCCGGGAGCAGAGAGAGCTTAGCAGCTTAATGTTTTCATGATATACAAGCATGAAGTTTGGCGAAGGCATTTTCATATGTTTACCTGAATATTTTAATAAAATCAAAAGATCCCTTTCACTTTAATACTCTACTTAGAATGTAATTTTCCATTAAATAAATAGTCAATGTTCTGTAACCCACATGCTGATAAACTTCAAAACTTTAGAAAGTATTAAGCGTAATCAAAGATTACTTTTAATTTTTGAGCTGGGAAGAGCCTGTGCCAGGGAACAGAGTTGAGATTGAAGAGATAAAAGCACGATTATTTTATGAAAGAAAAGCGAAATTCATAAAAGAGACCATGTGATTCTATAAAGCAACACAGAATCCGTTTTCAGAAGAGGCAAACGTGGACCACAAAACGCCAGTGTTGCCTGTGAAGAGAGAAACAGTTAAAAGGAAGAATTCGCGGTGGCCCAGTATAGGTCAAGGTGTGGGAGGACAGGGAGGCGATGAAATGATCCTCCTTCTAACTTCCCAGAAAGGTACAAGCGGCCAGCACTGTAACTGGAAACCACGCGGGCACCAGCGTGAACTCAGACCCGACAGCCAGCACCGTAACTGGAGACCATGCGGGCACCGGTGTGAACCCAGACTCCACGGCCAGCACCGTAACTGGAGACCATGCGGGCACCGGTGTGAACTCAGACCCGACGGCCAGCACCGTAACTGGAGACCACGCGGGCACCGGTGTGAACCCAGACTCCACGGCCAGCACCGTAACTGGAGACCACGCGGGCACCGGTGTGAACCCAGACTCCACGGCCAGCACCGTAACTGGAGACCACGCGGGCACCGGTGTGAACTCAGACCCGACGGCCAGCACCGTAACTGGAGACCACGCGGGCACCGGTGTGAACCCAGACTCCACGGCCAGCACCGTAACTGGAGACCACGCGGGCACCGGTGTGAACCCAGACTCCACGGCCAGCACCGTAACTGGAGACCACGCGGGCACCGGTGTGAACCCAGACCCGACGGCCAGCACCGTAACTGGAGACCACGCGGGCACCGGTGTGAACCCAGACTCCACGGCCAGCACCGTAACTGGAGACCACGCGGGCACCGGTGTGAACCCAGACTCCACGGCCAGCACCGTAACTGGAGACCATGCGGGCACCGGTGTGAACCCAGACTCCACGGCCAGCACCGTAACTGGAGACCACACAGGCACCGGTGTGAACTCAGACGCAACGGCACCCTCCTGGGCTGCTCCAGCCACCACCAGAACCCGTTCTGCAGCTGAACTCGAAGCTGATTCTGGAAGGAACTGAGGAGGATGAGGACGAGATCCTTCTACCTCAACCGGGATCAATTTTTTAATGATTTCTTTCTTTTAGAAAAATGTTAATAAGATACTTTGTTCTAAAATGACCAGGATTTCAGCAGCTTCTACATTTCTTCATGTCAATCAAAGCTTAGGCACGTGGGTTACTTCACTGTTCTCTGTACCCTTTCCAAATAAAACCCGGGGCCGCCTGTGTACCCAAGAGCCTGGGCACTGAGCAGAGAGAGAAAACGTCCAGGGCAACAGCGTTCACATTCCGGCGGTGCCATAGAGCAGACGGGGGGAGTCCGAGGCGGTGCCGCAGAGCGGACGCGGGGAGTCCGAGGCGGTGCTGCAGAGCGGACGCGGGGAGTCCGAGGTGGTGCCGTAGAGTGGATGGGGAGAGTTCGAGCCACAGGTGGCCACGCCTCCCCTGCCTCCGGCCGGTGCCCACTGCTCACGCATTCCTCTCTCGGCCCATCCTGAGCCAGGGGGCCCTCGCGTCACCCAAGGCCACTGCAGCACCTCCAGGAACAAACCACCCACAGATGGACTGCTCTCCATGCAAGGTGCAAAGATTGTTTTTAAAACTGCTCGGCTCTGGAACTTATCCCAGTAACAGGCTAGATTAAGAAAACTGACTAAAAACAGTAGGAGGAAAAACTCCCTCCACCCATTGAAGCACAAGAAATGCAAACAGCCTCTGAAATAACTGCAGACGAGTTTTCCTGGGTTAGGTACGCGGTGGGGTGACCCTACCCCATAGCGGGGCCCCGGCACACAGTGGGAACTGACGAACATCTCTGAATAAATGCAGGAAAATGCACTCAACTCCCAAACAGAGACAGAAACTGCTTTTTTTCCTTAAAAGCTTCTCTCTTTTATTCTCAAAAAGACTCTCTTTGGTGGCTTCACTGCTGAAGGGACAAGCCTGTTGTCCCCCTCCAGCAGGCTGGCCGCCTTCCAGAAAGCAGTCCTGGACAGTCTCCAGATCCTATGGCCCTCACATCCACCTTGCCTAGTGATCCCGCATTATGAAGCCTAATCATCAGAAAGAGCCTCCCAGTCCACAGCTCAGGAGTGGCGTTTTATTCAGGGAAACACTAATAAAAACCTGGGGCTCAGCGTCAACGCTGTCCCCTAGATACTGAGGCTCCACACAGATGGCACACAGACAGGCCTCACCCCTTCCTGGTGCCCCAAGTCTCTCCTAACATTTTATTAGCTGAGTTTTCTGGCGGTTTGTTACTTTTCACCTGCCCGTCCAAGGCAGCTACACTAAACTACTTGTCCAGGGCAGATCCACTCGTAATGACCATCAGCTCAGAGTTGGAAGTAGCGCTGGAGAATGAGGTGGTTTCAGGTTGCTATGCTTCCCTGCCCTCTCTTCCAGGGATGCCAAGTAAGTTTCTGCCGTGGCTGATGATGTCAGTACTACACTGAAATTAGTTCAACGGCAGGCCACCAATTAGTACTTACTGAACAACGTCCTTAAGAGTGAAACCCTGTCTCTACTAAAAATACAAAAATTTAGCTGGGTGTGTTGGTGAGCACCTATAATCTCAGCTACTGGGGGGCTGAGGCAGGAGAATTGTTTGAACCCAGGAGGCAGAGATTGCAGTGAGCCAAGATTGCACCATTGCACTCCAGCCTGGGCAAAAAGAACGAGACTCCATCTCAAAAATAAAAAAAAAAGAAAAAGAAAAAGAAAAAGAAAAAAATGATTCTCACGACACTGTCAACATCTTAAGTTCTTCCGGAGGGTAGCGTAAAATTATCACACACAACGTAAAGCCAATTAGATCAACATTCTGTCCTCACCGATCCATACCTAAATCCTTATTTCTAATTGGCCCCCAATTTTTCAGAATTTAAGAAGACTGAGAGGAATAACCACGAACAAGCAAGATTTACGCAGACGTCAGTCTTCCCAACTCTCGCTCAGGAACTCACCCCAAACTCCTCCTGTGGAATCAGCCTGGATAACAGTCCCTGGTGGCTACACAAGAACAGAGAGAGGATTCCACGAACCCATGACACACCCCACCCTCCAATCCAAGGCAGAGGAGAGAGGCGGACAGTCACAAAAACCAGAAGAGCAGGGAACTGTGATTCTTCTGATTTAATGTAGGTGATTGGGCCAAAAAACAAGGCAAATCCACCTGTGAATGGGGTGGGCTCCCAGCTGGCTGTGGATATGAAGGAACTCACTTTCCTGCACACTGAAGTCCATCAGCGTCTCCACATCGGCCGGCACCTGGGCTGTGATCGCCCCTCACAGACTGGGATAACAGTGGCCTCATCTGGACAGGTTGTCAAGGATGGATGGATAGACGTCCTGGACAGACACTGTACAGAGACCAGGGACTGGGCAGGGGGAGGTGGCACAGCCTTAGGGCCAGCAGGGGCGAGGCCGGGAAGCCGGGTCTCTGGGGCGTTGAGGGCCCATGGGGGCCTGGGCGAGGGCCTGCGTCTCCTCATCCAACAGAAGCAGAAGCGGCCGCGCAGTGTGGGCTGCAGCTGCGGGGAAGCAGCTGGTATGACACAGCAGGAGGCCGTGGCCAGCCCTGGAGGAGGGGCCCAGCTGCGGGCACTGCCCCAGGAGCCAGCATCCTGAGCCCCCGGGGAAGGCGGGAAATTGCCCCTGGGCACTGGGCGCTCAGGCTGGAGGTGGTGAGACCTCGAGGCCCTGCAGTCAGGGAGGCGAGGGCAGAGGTGGCCAAACTGCAGCTCAGTGAAGGGTCTTGTCAGGAAAGACCCCCAGAGGCTGCCTCACCGGCCCAGGGGAAGTTACTTCCAGCCCAGAGGCTCAACGGGGTCCTCGGTGGTGACACTTAACCTTGTCCTCTGACAGACGATCATCGAGATAGAGTCACTCAAACCTCTGCCAAGCTCTGCACCCAAGTGAAGCCGTTACCACAGATGCTGAGGCAGGCAGTGCTCATCTCAAAACTGTACAAGTGGTTTCTTTAGCCAGTTCTCCACATTCTTAATGACAATCCACACTACATGTGTGTTTCCAGCATCAACCTGTGCTCATAGCTACATACAAAATAACTTTATCACAAGGAAAACTAGGTGGTGAACCCAGGAGGAGGAAATCCCCACAAGTCGACAGAACACCAACGGCTCGTCGGCTCGTCGGCTCTTCCCGGCTGAACCCAAGGGTGCTTGGCTTGACTCACTTCCATACCAATTTCCAGATGTATTTTTACTTTCCCACATTTTCATTATGAAAATGTTCAAACATATTTAAAAAGTGGAAGAACAGTACAATGAGTGGCCAAGTTTTCTCCACGTGGAGTTCCGACAACTAACATTTCGGTAGATTTGCTTTCTCACTCTCTCTCTCTGTAGATTATACAGAGAGACAGATTCGTTTCTCCTCTGGAGCCAGTTGAAGGTGACAGGCTCCTGCCACCTCGCCGAGTCCTCACGCACGCGTTCCCTAAGAATAAAGGACCCTCTGCAGCCGCAGAACCATCATCGGCAGACAAGAACCATTTCAGAGCATCGCTGTCCACTTTATATTCAATAAGCACAATTCTCCCGAAAACGTCTTTTCTATCTGGGCCACACACTGCGCCGAGTGACTCTCCTTCCCCATCTTCGTCAGGGACAGCCTCACACCCTTTATCTGTGATGACTTTTCGAGAGTCTGGGGCCAACGTCCTGCAGAACGTCCCCCAGATGCATCTGTCTCTCAGGGCATCATTAAATTCCCTCTTATGCACCTCAGTTCCCTGTAAACAGGAAGTTTCAGTCTCGAGGCGCAATCACCTTCCGTCATACACTTCTCAGCAGCTTCCCGGTGAGGCTGCTGGTTCACGAGGGGCGGGAGCTCCTAGTCCTGCTCCCCGACGGCATAGCTGCGACCGGCACCACATGGGACTCGTGTGCACCAGCACCCACATCCCCGCATCAGAAACACCTGGAGGGGCCGCGGGCAGCCGAGACACCTGGAGGTGTGAACTGCACAGGCGTGGGGCAAGAACAGGGTCAAATCATAACATAACGTCTGATTCCACACGGTCCCACCTGCGTAAGATGGTGACATTTCCCTACCAGGTATCTGAAGCCAGAAAATCTGACAGAAAATTCACAACCTGCCTTTGTCCACCTAGGCTGCTGTAACAACACACCATAGGCTGGGCGGGGGCTGACAAGCAACAGAAAATTCACAACCTGCCTTCGTCCACCTAGGCTGCTGTAACAACACACCATAGGCTGGGCGGGGACTGACAAACAACAGAAAATTCACAACCTGCCTTTGTCCACCTAGGCTGCTGTAACAACACACCATAGGCTGGGCGGGGGCTGACAAGCAACACAAGTTCATTTCTCACAGCTCTCAGGCTAGGAAGTCCATGGTCAAGACCTGACAGGTTTGTCTGGTGAGGGCTTCCTGGTTCACAGACGGCGCCTTCTCACTGGGTCCGCACACAGTGGAAGGAGCGAGGGAGCTCTCTGTAGTCCCTTTTATGAGGGCACAAATCCCATTTATGAGACCCTCATGACCTCCTCACCACCCAAAGCTCCCCCTCCTAGCACCATCTCCTCCGGGGTGAGGATTCCAATTGTGAATCTTGGGGAGACACAAACATTACAAAAGCCCATCATTTAATTTTGTTTAAAGGCATTTTTGCTTCTACAAAGTCTCAAGATAAAATCAAAACAAAGAGGTCTTCAGAGGAGTCAATCCACACAGTTCTCCCAAAAGGGCAAGCAATCGATTGCCACCACTTTTTACCCAAGACCCGCTGAGTGCCCTGGTCTGCATGACTGATTCTAAATCACCGTCCTCTCCTCTGCCACTCAGAGGTCAGAGTCAGTCCAGAGCTTAACACCAAGGCAGAGCTGACTGAGAGACACAAGCTCATCCATTAAGACAAGCCAAGACTCCTGCCCAAGGCCTAATCCCTCCACCAGGGAAACGTGGAAGGGCCAGATGCCTGGCAGCCCTTCCTTCCTCTTCTGAAGCCCCCGAGACACAGCCCCGGCCAGGTGTGTGCCTCGGGCAATGCACAGGTAACGTCAGCTGGGCACCGAGTCTGAGAACATGTTCTCAAGTAAAAATGAAAACAGGACTGCTGTGAAAAGCTCATGCTTAATCACCTCTGGGCTAAATTCTAAATGCAATGTTATTTCAGAGCTAGGTGGAAGTAATTCCTTAAAAACATATATGAACAGTAACTAGCAACCAGGGTGATAAGTACTCAGTATGTGTTTGATGAATAAATGAATTTTTAAAATTTATGAAAAGAGCACGCTCTATTTAGGAGAATTCTATTTAATTTGATCTCCTAACTATAAAGTGGCTCCTTCGTGCTGACAGCAGGGTTTGCTTCAGTTGACTCAAAAAATGGTCACTCTAACAGGAAACCAAAAGGCTTTACAGAGAGTCAAATTATGGTGCCAATTCAACTGTGCATGGCAATTTCACCTAAATATTTAAATTCTCGAAGCACCGTACTCAGAAAACAAGACATAACATAAATAAGTGCATCGCCTCAAGCACTATCACCTAGAACTTGACAAAGTTTGACTGTGAGTTTCAAGAAAAGGGCTGACGAGGCCAAGAAGTTCCTTCCCCTCTCCCCTTACCTCCCATTTTGGTGACAAACTTAATGCAGAGAAATTCCTGTTTCAGGTTTGCCAGCATTGGAGCAATCCTGGCATTTATTCACCCAGGACACTAGAAGGCTGAAGTCTGCAGGGTGCACATATTTAAAATCACGGGAGCACTGGAGTAATGGAAAGAGGTGCCCGCGAAGGCATCATCCTTTCCAGGACAGGCTCTAATTCCGCCTCCGGGCCCTTTTGCAAAAAGCCATTTCTACAAACCCACGGCCACCAGGAGGAAACACACAAAAGACCCCACTGCCCTCCTGGCTTCCCAGAAGGCCTCAGAAGGACGAGACACGGAGCCCGCACACAATCCTGGACCCTCCTCCTTGCATTCAGTTTGATGCA
Organism: Homo sapiens; assembly: GCF_000001405.40. Lineage (NCBI taxonomy): Eukaryota > Metazoa > Chordata > Mammalia > Primates > Hominidae > Homo > Homo sapiens. Next base: position 639,046 of record NC_000010.11, read on the forward strand.
TGTCACCTGCCTGCATGATGGAGGTCCCACAATGGGCACAAGGGGACCCGTCAGGTCGGGAGGATGCTGCCCGGCTCACAGTCCACACATGGGGACGCGTCAGGTCGGGAGGGTGCTGCCCGGCTCCCGGTCCACACATGTGGACGCGTCAGGCCATCAGGGTGCTGCCCGGCTCACGGTCCACACATGGGGACGCGTCAGGTCGGGGGGTGCTGCCCGGCTCACGGTCCACACGTGGGGACGCGTCAGGTCGGGAGGGTGCTGCCCGGCTCACGGTCCACACGTGGGGATGTGTCAGGTCGGGAGGGTGCTGCCCGGCTCACGGTCCACACATGGGGATGTGTCAGGTCGGGAGAGTGCTGTCCGGCTCACGGTCCACACATGGGGACGCGTCAGGTTGGGAGGGTGCTGCCCGGCTCACGGTCCACACATGGGGATGTGTCAGGCTGTCAGGGTGCTGCCCGGCTCTCAGTATCAGCCGCATATGCACATTCTCCACTGAAGCCACTGCATGAAGCCACGCTGGAAGCACTTTCTGGCAGGTTTAGGAAGCTCACGTCCAAGGTCATTAAACGCATGGCAAGCTCGCCTTGGAGGCATTTTACTTTGCTAATGACAACGAAGCATTCTCATTGCACTGAATAGTTTAGAGCAGTCTTTCATGTCCACTGCCTCTTTGAAATAGGCATATTGTGCCTGTTTTACAGATTACATCAAGGCCCTAATATATTTAGTTCCTTGTCCCAGGTACACACAAATCAGCGACATCACTAGAACGTGTTTTGGACCACGAAAAGAAGGAAAATCACAGCATTATCCATTGATGCTGCTTAAAGCGTATTTCCAGATGTCCCTCCCCCGCCCGGCCTGTATCCAAGGCTTCCGCTGACCACGCGGCATCTGCTGGGCACTCTGCGCGCTTTCTCCCACACCCGCCACGCCTGTGGGCCTGTGCATGTCCCTCCACGCATCCCCACGCGGCTAAATCTCCCACACCCGCCACGCATGTGGGCCTGTGCATGTCCCTCCACGCATCTCCACGCGGCTAAATCTCCCATACCCGCCACGCCTGTGGGCCTGTGCCTGTCCCTCCACGCATCCGCACCTACCACGCGGCTAACACACACCTCCCACAGGTGGCAAGTGCCTGAACGTCCCCACGGCTGGCGGGGCTCCCGGTGCAGGACACACAGACAGGCACGGCCGCCCCGCCCACGGCCACCAAGGGCTTTGCTTTGTCCCCAGAGGTGCCCTTCGATGGGGTCACACGGCAGATGGCCAAGTGTTAGATAATTAAGGCTCAGGAAATCACCGCAGCCTTACCTTTAGAACTCACCTCTCCCCTGCACTTCAACCCGAAGGGTGGGTCGCCAGAGCTGGGGAAGAGATGCCCAAGGCTCCCTTGCGCCCTGACAGCCTCGGACTCTGCTCCCCTCTGTTGGTTTCTTACTGCACCTCAATAAACTTAGCTCACAGCAAGAGGCGGGCATGGCCAGAGTAGAAACACACGACAGACCCCGGGTAGACGCGACGGGGGACGAGGGTGCGTGCCGGGACGAGGGTGCGCGCGGGGAAGAAGCTGCGCGCGGGGATGAGGGTGCGCGCGGGGAAGAGGGTGCGCGCGGGGATGAGGGTGCGCGCGGGGAAGAGGCTGCGCGCGGGGAAGAGGCTGCGCGCGGGGAAGAGGGTGGGCGCCGGGAAGAGGGTGGGCGCCGGGAAGAGGGTGGGCGCCGGGAAGAGGGTGCGCAGGCTCCGAGAACCTGGGGGCAGCAAGGCCGGTCAAGGCTGGAGACTCCAACAGTGGCAGCAGCAAGGGTGTTGGCCAAGCCACAGAGACAGCCCCACCCAGAGGGGCTGCATGAACCAGCAGCGACCCTAACCCAACGTGCTCATCGGACTGGGCACACGCACACGCTGTGGACACGTGTGAATATGTTCCAATTAACGTGATGCTACGTAATAATCAACAACGTTAACCCCATGGCTTCATTACATGGCATCTGGCACATTGAGACTTTTTATTCTGTCTCTCTTCCTATACAAAGAAGTGGAAAATAGGTCCAAGATCATTCACAACAAATTATTGCTAATTGCAAAAAAAAAAAAATCCTACCCTCACCTTGGAAGATCTCAAGGCAACACCTCGTTCTTTGAGGTCATAGTGGGGACGCTCTCCGGACCCCTAGGTGAGTCTGTGACTGAGGGGAATCCCCAAATGGGCAGTTTTGGGGCCAGCACGGACGCCAGCCATGCATCCAGGCAGGTCTTGTGACCTCGGCTGGGTCACCAACCTATTCCTGCACTCAGACCCCGCCAGGAACGAGGGCACCGGCCCGCACATCTCTGCTCCCGAGGCTACATCCCCTACGTTCCTCTGCACTGCTGGGTTCCATGCCTTAGATCCCAGGCACCTTAAAGCTGATGTTCCCCCACCAGCCCTCATGAAGATGATACTCACACAACGCCCCTCCTCTCCCACCTGGTCAGTACCCAGGGAGAAAGGAACCCGGGTGTCAGCTTGATTTTCTGCCAGTACATTGAAAAAACAGCTGGCCAGCAGCACTGGTGCACAGCACTGCCAGGCTACCCATGAGGAAAGCTAAGTAAAGTCAGATGTACTCAAGTCGGCTGCGGCAAGTGCTTCTACATCCCTGCTCCAACAAGGAAAGACAGGAGGCCAGGCGTGTGTGTGGCTCACACCTCTTGTCCTTCCTTGTTGGGGCAGGGGTACAGAAGCATTTTGGGGGGCTGAGGCAGAAGAAATGCTGGAATTCGAGACCAGCCTGGGCAACATAGCAAGACCCCATCTCTACAAAAAAAAATACAAAAATGAGCCAGGTGTGGTAGCGCGCCTGTAGTCCCAGCTACTCAGGGGGCTGAGGTGGGAGGATCACCTGAGCCCAGGAGGCAGAGGTTGCAGGGAGCCAAGATTGCACCACTGCACTCCAGCCTGGGCAACAGGGCGAGACCCTGTATCAAAAAAAGGAAAGAAAGAAAGAAATACAGGAGACCACTAATAATTCCAAATAGTGCCTACTAATTTGAAATCTTTTCCAGATATGATGAAGGAAATTATTTTCCTTCCTACACCCCTTCTAAGGAAACATTTCTATTTTTCTGCTACACAATTTGGTAACCTGCCCTTTCAGATCCTGGCCTCTTTAAGCAGGACTCGCTGGTGTGCTAGCAAAGCAGTGCTCTGAAACCTCAGCATCCTCAGACCCACCTGGAGGGCAGGTGAAGGATGCTGGGCCTCCGCCTCCTAACGTCACACTGGGGTGGGGCAGGTCTGGGGTGGGGCAGGGTTTGCACTTCGAATGCATTCCAGTCTAGGGCCACATCGCCCTAAACACGCCCATCTCATCTAATGCATGCCAGAGGGAGGAGCCACACGGGGCAGGTCACAGAGCAAGTGTCCAGGCACCAGGCCACCAGGTGTCTATTTAAATGCAAACCAATCAAGCAGCTTAAGTCAAACAGCTTCACCCTCCTAACACATTGGCCAACACAACTAGTGATAAATATCACTGCTGTTAGACCTTCTGCTCACTGATGACCAGAGCAAGGGCCTGAAACATCAAAGCTGAAGGGCGTGTGCCACGGTCAGGGCTCCGCACACCCCCGTCCCAGGCCATCGCACACGGGTGCCCTCACCGGCACCGGGGTCTCACAGACCAGCTCCACTCTCACACTTACTGGGACACAACCACCCTTTCAGCCCTTCATGCGTCTGTACCCTACAGCAGTGTTCAAGGGAGGCTAATTTAAGAAAGGAATGTAATATGGACATCTGTGAACTCTTCCTCATATCCACTGAGTGGTCCTCCAGAAAGAGAAAGATTAAAAAGAAAAAGAAGATTTAAGAATCAAACACAGGGCCGGGCACGGTGGCCCACACCTGTAATCTCAGCACTTTGGGAGGCCAAGGTGGGCAGATCACTTGAGGCCAACAGTTTAAGACCAGCCAGACCAACATGGCAAAATCCCGTCTCTACTAAAAATACAAAAATCAGCCAGGCATGGTGGCACATGTCTGTAATCCCAGCTACTTGGGGGCTGAGGCAGGACAACGGCTTGAACCGGGAGGCAGAGATTGCAGTGAGTGGAGGTTGCAGTGACCCAAGATCGCGCCACTGCACTCCAGCCTGGGCAACAGAGTGAGACTCCGTCTCAAAAAAAAAAAAACAGGCCGGGCACGGTGGCTCAGGCCTGTAATCCCAGCACTTTGGGAGGCCAAGGCGGGTGGATCATGATGTCAGAGATCGAGACCATCCTGGCTAACACGGTAAAACCCCGTCTCTACTAAAAATACAAAAAAATTAGCCAGGCGTGGTGGCGGGTACCTATAGTCCCAGCTACTGGGGAGGCTGAGGCAGGAGAATGGCACGAACCCGGGAGGCGGAGCCTGCAGTGAACTGAGATCGCACCACTGCACTCCAGCCTGGGTGACAGAGTGAGACTCCATCTCAAAAAAAAACAAAAACAAAAAACAACACAGAAGCCCGTGGAACAAGCCCTTGCCCCAGTCCACGTCACCTGTGCTGTGCCACCCAGGAGCATGCCAAGCTCAAAGAGTCATCCACCTGCCTTGATGTCACTACTCGAATCACAGAGGCTGAGATTCCCTAACCCTCGTTATGTCCATGTCACTCACAAGCAGGCACTGGGCCCCCACAATGCACAGGGAATCCCTCTGGCCATCCAATGACCATCCATTGATAAATAAAAAGCATTAATTCCAGCTGGGTTGCAGAGTTGCACACATCAATACTTGTTACTGTTCACAAATGTTCCACCTGAGGGTGGAGTGAAGTTACAGAATTGGGAAGAACTTCACAGACGTATGAGGGTGTATTTAAGGAAAAAGTGTATGGAAGAGGTGAGAAAATAGAATATCCTAACCTCTGTCTTTTTATCACCCTCTAAATCCTATGATTCCAGTTCTGTTCATTCTGCAGTGAAAAATAATAAGTGATTCACACTCAGACACAAGGTGGCTTAGGAAGCTGCGGCTGTTTTAAAAAGATGAAACAATCTAGAAGGTCAGGATTCCGTGAGCGTATTCCTTACTAAAAAAGAGAAGAGACTGGGAGTTACACATCAGCTTGCCAAGGCTGTCCTGAAGTCCAGGAGCCCCTCAGGAGAACAGAGAATGTGCACCTTCTGCAGACCAAGGCAGGTGGCCGGGCCCAAGAGTGGGGATGGGGAGGCTGCAGGAGGCTTGCAGAGGGAGCTGTCCCGCCAGCCTCTGGCAGAAACTCCTGACTAATTAAACCCTGACAGCAACTCTGTTTAGTGAATTGTCTCCTGGTCACTAAGAAGAGTGAAGCTGTTGAAAGCCTACAGCCAACCCTCTGGATAATAGTTGAGACGTATTTTAGAGAAGGAAACGATCCCATCACAATCCCAGACTTGCCCACAGCTGCAGGCGCGTCCTGGGAGCGCGGCTTCTTGCTCTGTCAGCAACACGGCCCGCCGTAGAGCCACACGGGTTCTGCCTGACGCCCCCACTTCAGGGAGTCTGGGCAGGTGCAGCTGAAACAACGTCCGGGGGCAACCCCCACCCCCACTTCTCAAAAGTACACACAGAGGCAGACAGAATGAAACACGGCCCCCAAATCTCAGACGTAGGGTTCAGCAACACGGCCCACCATAGAGCCACATGGGCTCTGCCCAATGCCCCCACTTCAGGGAGCCTGGGCAGGTCCAGCTGAAACAGCATCTAGGGGGCAACCCTGCCCCTACTTCTCAAAAGTACATGCAGAGGCAGACAGAATGAAACACGGCCCCTGGGCCTCAGACATACAATTTAGCACCAGCATCTGTGAAACAAGAACAAAAGTCGCATGGGAAAGTGAGCATAAAAATGAAAAAATAACCGAATTACAGTGAAGATGGATGAGATGGGGAGGACTGTGAGGAAGGTGAGAAAGGGACTGAGGACCTGAAGAGGCACCTAAAAGCTGGATGTTCCCGACAAGACAAGAAAGACCCCTCCGGATGAGGTGGGACATCATCTTCATCATGGAAATAAAGGGGAAAAGCCTGAAAACATCAGTTTCCTACCATGAAGCAAAAATCAAACTGGCCTCAGACTTCTCCTCTACAACACTGGATTCCAAAAGATGAGGACATGGCATCCGTGGGGTCTTGAGGGAGAGCTGGCATGAACGTTCCAGAGCTGAGTCTCCAGAAGCAGCCAAAACAGCCTCAGATCCAGCAGAGTCTTGTCTTGAAAAGTCTATCAGAGTACACCCCCTTATCAAAGTGGCACACGGCTGCAGGGGGTGTGGTGTAAGGTGATTTAGAAATCCTTCTCCATGCAGACCCTAAACTTGGGAGGCCACTGGTCACACCCTGGCCACACACCTCAGCCAGCAGGAAGCCCTGTGCCTCCTCTCTGCTCCATCTCTAACGCCAAGAAACATTTTACTCATAAAATTATGTTATTTCCCATCTGTTAAATTGTATATATTAAGTCCATAAAGAGACCAAGAGAATGTATAAAAACATTGATGACTTGATGGTGGTATTATAAGTAATTTTTAAACAAAACATGTTGTCTAAATTTTCCAGAATGAAAAAATACTCTTTTTAACAAGAAAGGTGCTTTTAAAGTCACTGTAAACAATTATATACCCATCCTATGAACGTGGTCTTAAAAAGCAAACAGCAAAAACAGAAGGAAGTGCATGAATATGTTGATAACGTTTATCTCTGAATGGGGGGGGCTATTTTGCCTATTTCCCTAGGTTTGACGTGTCACTTCTGTAATGTAATAATAGAGCAAACACAATAGTTCAGGAAACACTGCTGACCACTAGGACATAAACCCTGTCTCCCCCAAAATGCTGCGTCCCCCGACCTCTGATTTTATCTTTTAAATCAGCTAAGTTTTCTCCCCTAAAAAGAAGCATATTGTATCATTACTCTTTAAATTTAGGTGAGTTAACAGGCACACAGACTTAAACACTTTCTGGAAAGGTGATGTGTAGAGTTTAAGATTTATTTTGTTCTGAGAAGAGCAGGGGCACGTTCCCAGGTGAGGGGCCTCCAGGAAACACTGGCTGTGTCAGCTGGGCCCTCACCTGGAGAAACGCATGCTCGAGGCCTCCACTCTCCACCCAGCCCCAGCAGGAATGTGGTGCAGAGCTGACGACAGGCCCATCTATAAAAACCCCAAGGGCTGTTTCCAGGAGCGACTCACTGCCCCGTGCCCCCCGCACCCTGTCCCCCTGTGCAGGTACTGGAGCTGCTGTCCAGCCTCCCCCAGGCTCTCCACACCCACACTCCACGCCTCCTTCCACCCCACGCCAACCTGCACCACCCAACTCCCCACTGTCTCTTACTGACCACCCGCCTCGACTCCCCCATAGCCTGGAAACTGCAAAGCTGCCTGGCAGCAAGAGGGGACGGGTGGCGACCGCACCAGCCAGGTAGCACCTGCTCCTGCCGGCCTGCAGGATCACAGGGCCTGCCTCATGGAGCCGTCTTTAAGCACAAGTACAGTGAGAAATCAATGCAGCTTTAGTTTTACTTTGCTGTTAAATTAATTTTATAACACTTGGCTATAACGTACATTAATTTTTATAGCAATTACTAAAATAACAACTCATAATGCATTCATTCACCATATTAAGCCAAGCAACTGAAAAACCAAACACACAAGCAGAATTTTATAGGACTGTAGTAGTTTTTGTTAGGCTGTCAAATTATTTTAAGCTCAAAATTAAAGTAATTAAATCTGTGACTCTCAACTGGGGGAGGTGGGCACACACAGAGTGTGGAAGTGAAAATCCTTTTTTTCTTCCAAACCTCACACAGACTCGGTTGGTAATTTCCATTGCTAGAATTATGTTCTGTTCCTTAGGTTAAAAACAACTGCCTTCATACCTATTAAAAACAATGTTTCTTCCTTTCCTGAGTGAAAGTGAAATGAGCCATGGTGGCAAGCTGGGCGAGAACAGAGGGAAACTGAGTCCATGTCCACATTTGACAGTAGGAGAGAACAGAGGGAAACTGAGTCCACGTCCACATTTGACGGTGGGAGAGAACAGAGGGAAACTGAGTCCACGTCCACATTTGACGGTGGGAGAGAACAGAGGAAAACTGAGTCCACATCCACATTGGACGGTGGGAGAGAACAGAGGGAAACTGAGTCCACGTCCACATTTCACAGTGGGAGAGAACAGAGGGAAACTGAGTCCACGTCCACATTGGACGGTGGGAGAGAACAGAGGGAAACTGAGTCCACGTCCACATTGGACGGCGGGAGAGAACAGAGGGAAACTGAGTCCACGTCCACATTGGACGGCGGGAGAGAACAGAGGGAAACTGAGTCCACGTCCACATTGGATGGTGGGAGAGAACAGAGCGAAATTGAGTCCACATCCACATTGGATGGTGGGCGAGAACAGAAGGAAACTGAGTCCACGTCCACATTGGACGGTGGGCGAGAACAGGGAAACTGAGTCCACGTCCACATTGGATGGTGGGAGAGAACAGAGGGAAACTGAGTCCACGTCCACATTTGACGGTGGGAGAGAACAGAGGGAAACTGAGTCCACGTCGACATTGGATGGTGGGAGAGAACAGAGGGAAACTGAATCCACGTCCACATTGGATGGTGGGAGAGAACAGAGGGAAACTGAGCCCACGTCCACACTGGATGGTGGGAGAGAACAGAGGGAAACTGAGTCCACGTCCACATTGGATGGTGGGAGAGAACAGAGCAAAACTGAGTCCACGTCCACATTGGATGGTGGGAGAGAACAGAGGGAAACTGAGTCCACGTCCACATTTGACGGTGGGAGAGAACAGAGGGAAACTGAGTCCACGTCGACATTGGATGGTGGGAGAGAACAGAGGGAAACTGAATCCACGTCCACATTTGATGGCGGGAGAGAACAGAGGGAAACTGAGTCCACATCCACATTGGACGGTGGGAGAGAACAGAGGGAAACTGAGTCCACGTCCACATTTGACGGTGGGAGAGAACAGAGGGAAACTGAGTCCACGTCCACATTGGACGGTGGGCGAGAACAGATGGAAACAGTCCACGTCCACATTGGACGGTGGGCGAGAACAGAAGGAAACTGAGTCCACGTCCACATTGGACAGTGGGCAAGAACAGAGGGAAACTGAGTCCACGTCCACATTGGACAGTGGGCGAGAACAGAGGGAAACAGTCCAAGTCCACATTGGACGGTGGGCGAGAACAAAGGGAAACTGAGTCCACATCCACATTGGATGGTGGGAGAGAACAGAGCAAAACTGAGTCCACGTCCACATTGGATGGTGGGAGAGAACAGAGCAAAACTGAGTCCACGTCCACACTGGATGGTGGGCGAGACCAGAAGGAAACTGAGTCCACGTCCACATTTCACAGTGGGAGAGAACAGAGGCAAACTGAGTCCACGTCCACATTTGATGGTGGGAGAGAACAGAGGGAAACTGAGCCCACATCCACATTGGATGGTGGGCGAGAACAGAGGGAAACTGAGTCCACGTCCACATTTGAGGGTGGGCAAGAACAGAGGGAAACTGAGTCCACGTCCACATTTGAGGGTGGGTGAGAACAGAGGGAAACTGAGTCCACGTCCACATTGGATGGTGGGAGAGAACATAGGGAAACTGAGTCCACGTCCACATTGGACGGTAGGAGAGAACAGAGCGAAACTGAGTCCACGTCCACAGTGGACAGTGGGCGAGAACAGAGGGAAACTGAGTCCACGTCCACATTTGACGGTGGGAGAGAACAGAGGGAAACTGAGTCCACGTCCACATTTGACGGTGGGCGAGAACAGAGGAAAACTGAGTCCACGTCAACATTTGAGGGTGGGAGAGAACAGAGGGAAACTGAGTCCACGTCCACATTGGATGGTGGGAGAGAACAGAGGCAAACTGAGTCCACGTCCACATTTGATGGTGGGAGACAACAGAGGGAAACTGAGCCCACATCCACATTTGAGGGTGGGTGAGAACAGAGGGAAACTGAGTCCACGTCCACATTGGATGGTGGGAGAGAACATAGGGAAACTGAGTCCACGTCCACATTGGACGGTGGGAGAGAACAGAGCGAAACTTAGTCCACGTCCACAGTGGACGGTGGGCGAGAACAGAGGGAAACTGAGTCCACGTCCACATTTGACGGTGGGAGAGAACAGAGGGAAACTGAGTCCACGTCCACATTTGATGGTGGGCGAGAACAGAGGAAAACTGAGTCCACGTCAACATTTGAGGGTGGGAGAGAACAGAGGGAAACTGAGTCCACGTCCACATTGGATGGTGGGAGAGAACAGGGAAACTGAGTCCACGTCCACATTTGAGGGTGGGAGGGAACAGAGGGAAACTGAGTCCAGGTCCACATTTGATGGTGGCTTTTAATGCACTGCAGGGTGTGTCCCCTTGACCTTCACGAATTTTCAGGTAGTAAGAAAGCAATTTTTCTTATTGGAAAGGAGAAAACTAAGTGACTGTAAAATAATATAATTTCCTTAAAGCAAAACAACAGAGAACCAACTTTTCCTTTTTTCACATTACCCAATAATTCTAAGACTCAGGGTTTTGTCACGTTACAGCAAATGCCATTCATTGGGGGAAGTCGGAAGTCAGAACAGTGTGTGCTATTCAAATTCTCGATGAATAATTAACTCAAATGTGTTCAGAGTGCTATAAAATGAAATTAATTTATTTTTAGTTTAACCCAAAATCCCCAATCACTTGCCAAATGATCCTCTATGTATCCTACATAAAAGACAGGGTCTTTCTGGCAGAAAACCATTGAAGTTTTTATTTGCAGTAAGAGAAGCATGCCTTATTATCAAACAGGTGCATGGTCCCCTTGTGGGGGGGTGCCCGTCACCTGCGTCCCCGTGCGTCACGGCGTTGCCGCACACCATTAACACATCAAAACGGAAAAGGAAATGTAAGCAGTGTTTGCCGTCCAAAGTTCACATCAACAATTCCTTATTAGGAAGGCAATTCTGAGCCTTTCCTCCTGCATCTGGGAGCTGCCAGCAACCCAGTTCCAGGAGAGAAAATAGCTTGACACCTCCTGCGGCCCATGGAGTCCTCCCGTTGGGACAAGGACCCCCCAGGAGAGAGAAGACCCCAGCAGAGTCAACACTGGAGGTCCTGCGGGGTGGGTGGTGCTGGGGAGGCCACACGGGGAGGGCTGTTCCCTGTTCCCTTCCCCTCAGGAGACAGCTGGCCCGAGGTGACACAGCACTGGATGCGATTTCAGGGCCAGGGACCATGGTGCCCGGGGCTGTGGACCACGCCAGCCCACAGCCACTGCAAGCCCCAGACCGGGGCTGTGGATAACGCCAGCCCACGGCAGCCACACGCCCCAGACCAACACGAGAAGAACGCAGGCCGACAACATCTTCATCTATGGTAGGTGACCCGGTTATCGTTCCTAAGAGAGTCCACGGCCACTTCTACTGGGTTCCCTATACTCTTCCCCTGCCCCAGCTGGTCCCCCCATGACAGCCGTGTCCCTGAGAATGGGATGCAGAGCCAGGAGGGACGTGGGCCCCTTCAGTTTGCAGGGGCTGCCAGGCAGCACCTTCCACCTGCCGAGGGCCGGAGGCGGGGAAGCCATTCCACAGCACGTGAGCTGGCAAGGGGCCTCCCAGCCTTAGAGCCCAGATGGCTTCTGGCCAGAGTGCTCTGGGCCGACCCCCCCTCATGCTCACTTCCCTGCATAAGTTTAAGTTGTTTTCTGTAATTTGCAACCAGAATCCTGGCTGATCCACCATGGAACCCAGATGTCCTCAGTTCTGCCTCAGCCCCCACTTGTGAGAGGTCCGTGGCATAACACAAACTCCCCCTGGGATTCGTGGGCCTCACGGGGGAAGCTGAGGGTGTGTCCATGCAGGACCCCGAGGCTACACAGCTCTGGCTGTTTCTCTTCCAAAGCCGGCACTGCCCTCTCTCCATCTCTCCCGGTGCCAGGGCTCAGGCCCCAGCCCCCGTTTCTGCAGAAGCCCCTTTCCATCCTAGCCCCTGCCACCCCTCCTGCTCTTGTCTCTCCCACACCTCCCAAACTCTCTCCTGGCCAGCTCTCGCCACACTCAGTCAATGTCCACTGGGGGCCTCAGGGGCACCTCCACCTGCCCAGGTCTGGGACCACCGTCCTCCACGCATATCTACAGACCCTGTCCTCACCTGCATCACACCAATGATGGCGTCACAGCGTGGGTTCCGGTCACCAGTCGGCCTCCCCCACCAACGTGGACTCCTTACAAGCAGAGCCACCAACGTGGACACGATCCCATCAGGAACCACCTACTTTTGCATCCCCAGCACTGTGCTCAGGTCCCAGGGAGGCCCCAGCAAACTGTGGAACAACCAAACTCGTGACTGAATGAACAAGTATGTTAAGTCGTTAAGTAAAAATAGCAGAAGACTTAGTAGAATGTATGAGTAACAATTACAATTATATGAAAATCCGTATCCACGTGAAGGTATTATGCAAAAAAAGCTTAACTTTGTTTCAGTGCCTTTCCAGTTAAATGTTGTTAAGCAGTATTTCCCCCAAAAGGTGCATCTTTTATAAAACAAGAACGCAAGGCTCTGAGGCCAACTTTGAACATTTATTTGAGTGAATTCACGTCCCCCAAATTTTCCGTATCCCAAAATCTGGACTTTTGCTAAATGGTGCCCTTAGCACAGGAGTCTCTCCAAGGAAGTGGCCTGAGCTGAGAGGGGGCCTGGCATCGCCCACCCAGGTCATCAGTCATCATCAGCAGCAGCTGCGGCATGAGAGAGATGGTGTGGGGCGAAACCAATGGGGAAACTACAAAAGAAACCACCTGCTACTGCAAACGGCCTCGCTGTACTCAGGGAGTCGGTTCCAGGACCCCATGGACACCAAATCCAGGCACACTCACGCCCCACAAGTGGACCTGCCGAACCTGCGTGTACAGAGTCGGCCCTCCGACACACGTTTCACATGGCAGGAACACTGTATTTTCTCCCTGAGTTTGGTTGAAAAAATTCACATATAAGTTGACCCACAAAGCTCAAGCTTGTGTGGTACAAGAGTCAACTGTATGCAATTGACACTGATTCCTACCAACGATATCCAAATCTTAGCATGAGCAGCACGATAAACAGAATGAGCAAAATTCAAAAACTAAAGCAGCGTTTTTCCTGCAAGTGGGCGCACTGCGTATCCCCTGCGGGAAAGACCACGCTGGCTGCTGACCAAACTCCACTGGCATCTTCCTCCATCCTGAGGGCATCTTCCTCGGCATCTTCCTCCATCGACAGCAGCCTGGGCTCACCTCCCAGCCCGAGGCTGAGAACTGAGTTCCAGTCCCGGGGTGGGGTGGCGGGGGGGCGCACTGTGCACCCTCCCAGCTCTCCTCCACCCCTTCCCTCAGGCTGGCCCAAGAATAGCCTGGACAATCACCTGCTGGGGACACCGGGCTGCCCCTCCTCCGCCCACAGCCTCAGGCCACCTGTCTCATCCGTGACCGAGAAACGGAGCTGCAGTGGGAGGCGGGACATGCTGGGATCTACCCATGGCCAGGCCAAGCTGCGCCAATCACTCAAGCTTCACTTTGATCACTTGCTCTACCAAATAAAACAGAACAAAATAACACCATGTCCTCCTTTCCACACACTCCCAAGCCTCCCATCCCACTTCCCGGTGCTGACCCCATGAGAACACTTTGTGCGTCTTTCTAGGTATTTTCTATCCTCCTCAAGCACAGAACCGCACGCAGAGTGATTTTTTTTTTTTTAAACAGAAATGGCACCAGGGCAGATGATGATTTTTTGTACCATTTCTTGACTTTCTTGGGCATTTTCCACACCAGGACAGATGGACCCTGCTCTCCTTCCTCCCCGCCCACAGCTACCTCGCAGCAGCCACACACTGAGCCATAAACCCTCGCAAGACTGTGGGCATCTCAAGGTGCCCCACGTCCCCAAAGACCAAGGGGTCACAGCTCCACATTGTCCAACAACACTTCAGACGCGGCCTCGAGCCTGGAAGCCCTCCTGGCCAGCCCAGACCAGCCCCAGAACAGAGGTGTGAGGGGTGACGTCTGTACTGCCTTAAAAAAAAAAAAAGCAGATATTCAATGCCACATTTAAAATGGTCATGGCAGCCAGGCACAGTGGCTCATGCCTATAATGCCAGCACTTTGGGAGGCCAAGGTGGGCAGATCACTTGAGGTCAGGAGTTTGAGACCAGCCTGGCCAACACAGTGAGACCCCGTCTCTACTAAAAATACAAAATTAGCTGGGCATGGTGGCGGGTGCCTGTAATCCCAGCTACTCGGGAGGCTGAGACACAAGAACTGCTTGAACCCTGGAAGTGGAGGTTGCAGTGAGCTGAGATCACACCACTGCACTCCAGCCGGGGTGACAGAGCGAGACTCTTGTTTCAAAAATAAAAATAAAAAATAATAACAAAAAACAACATATGCATTCCTAGTCCCTTGGAGCCACGGCAACGAAGCTGGCAATATATTTTGGGTGTTTAAAATCAATGCTTTACATGAGCTACGCTGCAAGTCTCAACCTTGATCCTGCTACAGTAATCATCCACTACAAATTAAAACAAGAGCCATAACTGTCTCCTACTAAAATATTCTAATTGAGACATACTAACAGAATACATTTCTTTGGGTGAGAAAGTCTCCACCAGGGTGGGGAACAGACGGCCCACCAATTGTGCTGTGGCCCTAACCTCCGAGGACTCAGCAATCATCCACAGCAAGGCTGGTGACTCGAACACTAAATTGCTCTTTGACATTAATTCTTAAACCTTGAGAAACCAAAGTTCTCTTTGTAACAGACTTGAGAAAGACACTCAGAAGAGACGCACCAACTCTTACCTGGGAGAGACACCCTTGCTAATCATGTCTGGATTAATGGATGCACTAAAAGCATCTCTTCCAACTGGGACACAGACTGCAAACAGGAACACCACGAATACCTTCCCCAAATTACCCAGTCCTGACCCATCCACCCCTCAGGAGGTCCCCAGCCAAGTCCAATAAGGAAATGACCCCACAGCAGATGCACGCACAGGCAGTGAGGGCAGTGGCGTCAGGGAATTCTGCTCCATAAACCTTGGCAGCACGCAGGGAGGTGCATTTCTCCTTATCAGACGCTGCCGGAGATTGGTAGTGACGCTTTCATTCTTCACAGCTGCTATCTGATCTCATGCTAATCAGTGTTTTTCTGACAACAAAGTCAAGGTTTCTCAGAAGAGACTGCCAGATGAAAGAATGGGACAAAAGACAGAAGCCCGTTTCTGTACCCAGCTGGACAGGTGAAGTCATTTAGGTGCAGGATGATCTGGCCATTCCAAATATGCACGGCTTTCCAATTTTGTTAAAATGAAACCCAGCCTTTGAAAAGGCCCGGACTTCCTACAATGCACAGTATTTATAGCGTGGAGGGCACTGTAGAGACGTCATCAGTGTATTCACAACAGCAAGATCCACGGAGGCTCTGCCATGTGCCAGGCATGAGACAACTGTTTACAGAAAACATCTCATTTCATCCTACACAGAGTATACAGACTGCTTCACAGAACACTACCAAAGAGGACCATCAAATGATCCCCAGGAAGTAATGAGTGCCTTAAAAGTAAGAAAGCCAACCTCCTCCCCCTCTTATCTCCCTGTCCTCATTTTCATAGAACTAAAGAAATATGAAGGGCCAGTAACGCCCCACTGAAGAACGCTCTCCTGGTGGTTATACTCTGTAGTATGGAGCACAACACTGCCCCATGCTGCGCGAGGCTACTATTCTATACTACACTACTATGATCGGTTTGTTCTATTCTATACTATTCCATTCTCTACGATACAATATTATACTGTTTCATTCTACACTATATAATACTGTACTATCTGTTCTATTCTATACTATTTTCTTCTATACTGAAAGGAGTTAGCCAGCTTGCTTTAGGCAGACAGTAAGCGAAGGGTCCCAGACAGCCTCCAGCCCATGTTTTGTGCAGATAGGGGAACTTGCTCAGGGGGCTTGCCTAAACATGCTCACAGTAGACTGAGGGTCCCCATACACATGGGGGAATGGGGTGGAGCCACCAGAAATTCGCTCCTTATGCAAACAGGGAGCCCAGCCCCATCAGCTTCTATGTAAAAGCCCTTGTAGTCAACTGGGAAGGGGGCAACCAGCAACCTGCTCTCAGGACCCCTCTTTTTGCTGAGACCTTTCCTTTTCGCTTAATAAATTCTACTGCACTCAGTCTTCGATGTCCATGTGTCTGTTTCTTCCTGGTTGTGAGACAAGAACCCGGACCCAGCTGAGCTAAAGAGCAAAAATCCTGCAGCAGTGCTACAGAACACTGTCCTCTCTGTTCTGTGCTATGCGACTCTACTATTCCACACTACGCTATGTAATAGTCACTGCCATCTCTGTTCTGTGCTATGTGACTCTACTATTCCACACTACGCTACGTAATACTCACTGTCCTCTCTGTTCTGTGCTATGCGACTCTGCTATTCCACACTATGCTATGTAATAGTCACTGTCCTCTCTGTTCTGTGCTTTGCGACTCTACTACTGCACACCATGCTATGTAATATTAATACCATGCTGTGTGTTCTAATCTAGACTACATTATGCTATGCAATACTACGTTGTTAGTTCAACTGTATACTCTACAATACTATCCCACTTGTTCTATTCTAGACTATGTAATACTACTTGTCCTATTGTATACTATACTATATAATGTTACACTGTTTCTTCTATTCTATGCTACCCTATAGAACACTCTACTATTTGTCCCATTGTATACTATACTATATAATGTTACAGTTTCTTCTATTCTATGTTACCCTATAGAACACTCTACTATTTGTCCTATTGTATACTATACTATATGTTACACTATTTCTTCTGTTCTACGCTACCCTATATAACGCTATACTATTTGTCCTATTGTACACTATACTATATAATGTTACACTGTTTCTTCTATGCTACCCTATAGAACACTCTATTTGTCCTATTGTATACTATATATATAATGTTACACTGTTTCATCTATTCTATGCTACCCTATAGAACACTCTATTTGTCCTATTGTACACTATACTATAAGTTACACTGTTTCTTCTATTCTATGTTACCCTATATAACGCTATACTATTTGTCCTATTGTACACTATACTATATAATGTTACACTGTTCCTTCTATGCTACCCTATATAACGCTATACCATTTCTCCTATTGTATACTATACTATATGTTACACTGTTTCTTCTACTCTATGCTACCTTATCGAACACTCTACTATTTGTTCTATTCTGCACTACTCTGTATAATTCTATCCTGTTTGTTCCATTCTATACAGTATCAGGCATCGCTTTACCATGTCCCACTACATAAGAGCAGAGCCAGTTATACTTTCATAATCTCTTTTCCAAGCTCTTACCCAGTGCGGTATTCAAATGTGATGTTTTACTATGCCACACGTAAGTGCACATTTCATGATAATCAATGCCGTTTCCTATGGTTATAGAATTCTGTCTCTATGATTCTATCAATACGGCTTCTTTGGGCTTTTCTGTAAGTCCTTTGCAGTGTCTGATTTCCTAGTGAAAAGATGAGTGAGGTCCCGATAAGATCCTACGAAACCAGCATCCACACAGGCTCACCTGTGTGCACACTGCTGGACTCCGTGTTGAAGGAGTGACAGGAAGACAGACGGCTGTCGGTGAATGGAAGGCAACAAGGACAGAGTAGATTCCAGAACTGAGACAGGTACCAAGGCTCTGGCACAGCTGAGGGTCGATCCCAATTCTAGCCTCTCACAGAAAGGCAGAGGTGACTTAGCACAAAGAGCATGGAACTTTGCTTTAATAAAGCAAATGCTTAACATCCACTGTGAGGAACTCAAGGAGAAATGGCAGTAGGCTCTACTAATAACTACTGCTTTAAAAAATGCAAGGGAGTGGGTACATTTTCACATGGGCCATGTGGAAAGTTGGCTGGACCTGCCACTGGACCTGACACTGGACATGCTGCTGGACTTGCCACTGGACTTGACACTGGACCTGCCCCCGGACCTGCCGCTGGACCTGCCACTGGACCTGCCACTGGACCTGACGCTGGACCTGATGCTGGACCTCTCCCTGGACCTGATGCTGGACCTGCCGCTGGACTTGACCCTGGACCTGCCCCTGGACCTGCCGCTGGACCTGATGCTGGACCTGTCCCTGGACCTGCCCCTGGACCTGCCACTGGACCTGTCCCTGGACCTGCCCCTGGACCTGCCCCTGGACCTGTCCCTGGACCTGCCGCTGGACCTGCCGCTGGACCTGCCACTGGACCTGACCCTGGACCTGCCCCTGGACCTGCCCTTGGACCTGTCCCTGGACCTGTCCCTGGACCTGACGCTGGACCTGATGCTGGACCTGTCCCTGGACCTGCCCCTGGACCTGCCGCTGGACCTGTCCCTGGACCTGACGCTGGACCTGCCGCTAGACCTGTCCCTGGACCTCACACTGGACCTGTCCCTGGACCTGCCCCTGGACCTGCCGCTGGACCTGCCGCTGGACCTGATGCTGGACCTGATGCTGGACCTGCCCCTGGACCTGCCCCTGGACCTGTCCCTGGACCTGCCGCTGGACCTGATGCTGGACCTGACACTGGACCTGCCCCTGGACCTGCCCCTGGACCTGCCGCTGGACCTGACACTGGACCTGCCACTGGACCTGACGCTTGACCTGATGCTGGACCTCTCCCTGGACCTGATGCTGGACCTGCCGCTGGACTTGACCCTGGACCTGCCCCTGGACCTGCCGCTGGACCTGATGCTGGACCTGTCCCTGGACCTGCCCCTGGACCTGCCGCTGGACCTGCCACTGGACCTGTCCCTGGACCTGCCCCTGGACCTGCCCCTGGACCTGTCCCTGGACCTGCCGCTGGACCTGCCGCTGGACCTGCCACTGGACCTGACCCTGGACCTGCCCCTGGACCTGCCCTTGGACCTGTCCCTGGACCTGTCCCTGGACCTGACGCTGGACCTGACACTGGACCTGATGCTGGACCTGTCCCTGGACCTGCCCCTGGACCTGCCGCTGGACCTGTCCCTGGACCTGACGCTGGACCTGCCGCTGGACCTGTCCCTGGACCTCACACTGGACCTGTCCCTGGACCTGCCCCTGGACCTGCCGCTGGACCTGCCGCTGGACCTGATGCTGGACCTGATGCTGGACCTGCCCCTGGACCTGCCCCTGGACCTGTCCCTGGACCTGCCGCTGGACCTGATGCTGGACCTGACACTGGACCTGCCCCTGGACCTGCCCCTGGACCTGCCGCTGGACCTGACACTGGACCTGACCCTGGACCTGCCGCTGGGTCTGCTACTGGACTGCTAACAAATGCTGCAGACCTTTATGGAGAGAAAAGTACAATCCATCTGAGAGCAGCTGTCCCAGCTCTGGATGAAGCCGACAGAATGAGGCAGAGCTGCTGGCATCATTCAGTGGGCAGTCAGTGACCCTCCTTTAAGTCCAGAAAAGCTCAAACTGCATGTCTGCAACTAGAAATACCAATCATTAGCCAGACCTCCTGGCAAATATCACCACTGACCCACTGTAATTCTGTGTGGTGTATTATGTTTCATGTGCAGGAAATCATTCACAAAGCCTTTAACAAGGAAGTATTAACATGACTTTTAATGCAATATAACAGCTTTGCACCCATTTAACATATATTTAACCCCAATGGTATATGTAAATATATATTTTATAGAGCATCAGGCGTGTTTACCTAATGGCTCAAACCTTTAAAATATCTCTCTCCCTGAGAGGACAGCGGAGGATCCCATGCACTCTCTCCAGGAACATGGCCCTCCCAGAGAGGACTCACAAATCAAATGTGCATATGCATGCATGCACAGACACATATCTCACACACACACATGCGCACACACACATACATGCAATACACACATTCACACATGCACACACATTCACATAATCACATTCATAATACCAACATGTAACACATACATGCACATACAACACTCAAACACACATGCATATACATACATGTTCATGCATATACATTCTGGCACACACAAACATATGTAAATGCATACACATAACATGCACACATATACATTTATAACTATATACACAGGAGCATCCACGCATGCATACTTGCACATGTGTGCGATGTCATGCCTAAACATGTAACACATGCACACACATACATACAACACAAATACACATGCACACATATACACATGCATGCATCTGTACAGTACCAAGACACATACATGCACAACACATATACATGCAATACACACTTTCATACACATAAATGCAAACACACATACATATATACACCCCTCAAAGACCCCATTATTCAATTCTATACAAAATGGTTTATCCCCCAAATGTAACTTCTTGTAATTAATAAACTCTACTTTACTGCACATTTCTTGATTTCAAATAATGAGGTCTCACACACAGCACACATACACACATTCATACTCAAATACATGTGAACATACGAATAGAAATAGGCACACATGCCTGAAGACCCTCTTCTGTAAAGGTATTCTCAAACTTGAATTGAACGAATTCTGCTAATTATAGTCAGAGTCAGCAAAGATATATATTTGACCTCGGAATGAATATACTCGTTCTTTTCGTTACCCCTGGCAACAGCAAGAATGTAAAACAGGGTTGTGTGATACGATGCCACTTATTCAATCCCACTTCCCGGGATCTGACCACTTGTAAAAGCGTTTCTGTCTGAGTGATTTCCTTCTGACTAAAATCATGAGATAATTCCTTCCCTTCCTGCTTTCTCTTTCCCAGGCCTTTTTACTACCCTTTCATCATCTCGGAAACTAAATCATAGTTGTCAAAATGGAAGGCAAAGAAACAGCCTTAGGAGAGAATCTCACAGTGGAACGGACCAGAGAGAGGAAAAAATAATCTTTTTGAAAATGTACAAAAGGAAATGTCAAGAGGCCTAGGTTCCCTCTCATGACAGAAACAGACGTCAGCAGAGCAGGTCGCTCAGCCCAGTTCAGCTCTGTGTATGAAACAGAGATTCTAGCCCTTGTCCCTGTTTCAAGCTCTGTGTATGAAACAGAGATTCTAGCCCTTGTCCCTGTTTCAAGCTCTGTGTATGAAACAGAGATTCTAGCCCTTGTCCCTGTTTCAAGTTCTGTGTATGAAACGGAGATTCTAGCCCTTGTCCCTGTTTCAAGCTCTGTGTATGAAACAGAGATTCTAGCCCTTGTCCCTGTTTCAAGCTCTGTGTATGAAACAGAGATCCTAGCCCTTGTCCCTGTTTCAAGTTCTGTGTATGAAACGGAGATTCTAGCCCTTGTCCCTGTTTCAAGCTCTGTGTATGAAATGGAGATTCCAGCCCTTGTCCCTGTTTCAAGCTCTGTGTATGAAACAGATTCTAGCCCTTGTCCCTGTTTCAAGCTCTGTGTATGAAACAGATTCTAGCTCTTGTCCCTGTTTCATGATGTTGCAGTGAAGGAAACGAAACAGACAAAGGGCACAGACTGGAGAAAAGGATTTTAAAAGGATGACTTTTAAAATGTGCACCTGCTTTTCAAGGGCACAATGAGGACTTTTTCAAGCATATTAAAGCTGATTTATAAGAGATGGGTATAAAGACTCTACAAGGTCATTAGACTTTAGGCTTACAAAGAAAACAAATAACATTCTCCTAGCATCAAGAGTCAGGTGTTCCACAAATACTAAGAATAGCCACCGCAACGGGATCCACTATGAGGTGTCAAAACATAACCCATGAAGCGTGGCCGAGAGCTCCTATAACCTGATTTCTAGGAATCTAATTTTAAACATCCTCACAGCTAGCACATCACAAAAATACAGAGCTCCAAATGCCGTAACACAAGTGCTAACAACACCTAGCCAAAAATATACGAGGCATTTCAGGCAAAAATCCCAGAATCAGAAGAACACAAGTTTTGTAAGTCCTTCAAAAGCTGGTGCTGGTTGAGGCTTTTCTGCAGACTTCAACAAAAGACACACTAGAATTAGCCATTGACAGTAACCCTGAGTCAACACGCACAGTGTTGGGAAAAGCACAAGGCCTGCTCCAGGCTTGAGGCCCCTGGGATCTTTCTCTGGACCGCACCGAGTGGATGACTTTGAGAACTCAGAATAACCAACAACCAGTCCCTGAACAGAGAGAGAAGACTGCAGCCTCCCTGGGGACCTGGCTCCATGCCTGCCCCCTTTCTTCCGTGTACCTTTGCCCTTCCTGGCTCCCTCCTCCACCTGGAGACGCTCTGGGTTGAGGCCCCTCCTCAGCTGTGTCTTGGTCCACGGCTGGCTACCCGTGTGAGGCTCCAGGCCTCGAAGGACCATCTCCACCTGCTCCCTGCGCTTCTCACCAGCTTCCGCCGTGACCCCCAGGCTCTGGCTGCTCCCAGGAATCAGGGCCACCAGGCTCCCCTCGCTGCCTCCAGCTGGAGTCCCACCCCCTGGTTTTCAGCAACACTTGGGACTTTGTCCTGGAAACTCTCGGCTCTGGGCTTTAGGGAACTGCACCGTGCAGCTCTTCTCTGGACTCTAAGCAGGGCCTTTTCTGGGTCTTCCGACCCTTCCTCCATTTCCAAATGTGGGCTTTCCTTTGGCCTCCTCTCTCCCGACATGCACACCTCACACTCTGGCTCCTTGACCTGCACTTCTATGTAGGAGGCTCCCAAATCCACCCTGGTCCGGATTTTCCCCAAGCCTCCTTCCATATTTCCAAACTCGCAGCTTGCGGTGGTGTCTCTAAGTATCTCTGAATCAGGTCCACACTTGCTTCTCCTCCTGATTTCCAGCAAAGCACAACGCCGACCTCAGGGTGTAGACTCACAGCTTCATCTGCCTTCCTGCACTCCCTCTTCCCCTCCTGACCCAGGCACTGAATCGCTCAGCTCACTGGCTGCCTTCTCTCCTCCTCTCGCCATGGCGAGTGCCCCGCAGGAGCCTGGCCTGTCCCCCGTGGCTCCACAGCATACCGCACATCAAAGGCACGATTCTCTCCGAAGCCCTCAGTGGCTTCCTAGTATCTGACAGGTAAGGACTTCCACATTCTGACCCCAATCTAACTTTCTGCCCTCAGATAGGCACATGCATATTTTATCTATACACAAAGAGTACAGGCCTCACACCTGCTCTCATTCCTGGGTTCCTAGCTCCTCCTGAAGGTACTGTATGAGGTACCTATGCACTTTCCAAACGCTAAGTGAATACGCACTTGGAGAACACTTGCTTGATAATTTTGTGGCATTGCCAGATAACGCGGACAAAGTGAGAACTACGCAGGTGTATGGATGCTGCCTTGCCCAGACCTCACTCACCCAGACACTCCTGGATGTTCAAGGTGACCAGCCCTATTGGCGCACAGGCAGGCACAGGCTGCACCCCCACAGCTGGGCCCCGCGAGCTGAACGCTAATCATGAAGCAGCTGTGTTTGCTCCTAAATCTGTTTATGCCAGTGTACTTGTTACACATTACTTAAACCAATAAAATATGACTCCAAAGAGAGAGTAATTGATTGGATAAAAACTAAGATGGATGCCTTTCAAAGACTTGATATGGGGGAATTTTTTTTTCTTTTTCATCTTTTTAAAATTGTTATCAAATTAGGTATGGGCAGAAAATATATACAATGTTTGAGGAAATAATTTTTAAAGGTTTCAAATCTAACTTATCTTATTTCTCTTGTGTTGCCTATTCTCTTTTAGAAGAACCAAAACTGTGGCAGGCCTGCGATGGCTGTGGTTGAGGAAAGAGGCCACACCCACAGCCAGCAGAACCACACTCAGCAGCAGCCTAGCCCCACGTGGAAGAGGCGTGAACACTCTCGGGAGAGGTGGATGTACGCTAATGGTTCTCAGCTCCGACCTCTGTGATTAACAGAACATGCTGATTGGTTTTATCTGAACGTCACACAAAAGGGTTTCTATGTCCAGGAAAGACTCTAAACACTCTGGACCCTGCTGGGGCAGATGGTGACCGTGACCCAGTGATACCACTCTCCAGTGGGCAGCCTGGTCTGCAGAGGGGGAGATCCCTGGGGCAGCCCTACCTCAGCATGGGTGAGTTTCTGTTGCAATTCTATGTCCAGTGTAAATAAACTGTGGAAAACTGGGAGATGGTACAAGAAAGCAAGGATGCCAACTAAATGAATAGAAAGATCTACAAGGGAAGGCTGAGATCAGCTGAAATAGGATTGGGAAAGTAAAGGCCTGGCTGGAACTT
Source organism: Homo sapiens (assembly GCF_000001405.40). Taxonomy (NCBI): domain Eukaryota; kingdom Metazoa; phylum Chordata; class Mammalia; order Primates; family Hominidae; genus Homo; species Homo sapiens. The sequence goes on from NC_000010.11 coordinate 663,308, forward strand.
CGTAATGGCTTTTGAGGCTCGGGAACAGGGACAGTAGCTGCCCTGTCCATCCCAGGAGAGAACAGACGGACATGGCTGGAAAGCACTTCCCTGACTAAAAGTGTCTTTAAAAAGGGAGATCTCAGAATCTCCTTCCCTGGAATGCTTTAACCCTTCATGGAACACAGCAGAAATTCCACAGCCCTGCATCCCAGGAAGCAGGGACAGGACAGCAGCTTCCAGCACACAGAAGCATTTAGAGGCATAAGTAGCTACGCAAAGACAGCAGGAGCCGTGCCTCGAAAAGGCTGAGATGTCTGAGAAATAAAGTTGTACGCGGATTTACGCCTGGGCAGGTTGAAATGCGTGTGCCATGACAGATCCGGAAGCTTGTCTACTCGAAGGTCCACATCCAGGTATGTTTCACAGTCATCACAACTAGATTTTCAGAAATTTAAAACTCCTAATGAAGAAACACAAACCTGCACGTCTCACGCCACCACTTAAGGCAGCGGCTCTCAAGCAGGGGCGATTCTACTGGGAGGAGGGATGCTGATGGCACCAGAGGGTGGGAAGCAGGGATCTGACGCTTAGCACCGCAGGTGCCAAGGACGGCCTCCTCCCCACAAGGGCTCCGGGAGGCCACACCAGAGGGTGGGAGGCAGGGGTGACGCTCAGCACTGCAGGCACCGAGGACAGCCTCCTCCCAGGAGGAAAAAACAAAGACGGGAAAAAACAAAGGCTCCCCACAAGGGCTCCAGGGGGCCACACCAGAGGGTGGGAGGCAGGGGTGACACTCAGCACCGCAGGCACCGAGGACGGCCTCCCACAAAGGCTCCTCTGGGCCAGAGCATCCGTAGTGCCAAGGGGAAAAGCCCGGACACAAAGGATCCAGTGTTTTCAACGTTGCTCAGGGTATCTCCACACAGAAACTCCCATCTGCCTTTTGTGCAAACTCTGGGGTCTTGCAATCGATAAACGTTCACAAGACACAACACGTGAACCTAACAATTCTCTTTTGCTCCAGGAGAGAGAAAAGAAGGAATGGTTTGGGGAGATTCACCGAAATTCTGTGAGTTCTTGACTAAAAATCACCAAGTCCGCTGTGTTCTGTTATCAGCAGTCCTGGGTAGGCCCAGACCCACCTCACCCCCAGCGGGACCCAGGAAAGGCTTTAAACCTCAAACGTCCCTTTTCGTAACACTGGCTGTTTCATGTGGTTAATAAATCATCCAATAAAATGACACACATAAGCCCAGTTATACACTCGACACATTAACACTATTGATCATTGTTATATGTCCGGGTTAATCAACATTACAATGCTACAGAGAAATCATTGGTACTAAGAGTTGTAAGGATGATTTTTTAAAATTTATGTATCTCAATTTTTTATACTGTTACTTTTTACATTTTAAAAAATGTATATTCTGAAATATTTTTGATATTTTAAAATGTTAATGTATCAAGCATTTTAAAATGAACCAAATATATATCTACAAATATATAGGGAATTTTTAAATAAATATCAGGGTAGAAGGAATTAAAACTCCTAACTTAATACTAAATAGACGGGAAAAAACAAAGTAGAGAGTTCTCACAGACTCCTGAAGGAATATATAGTAATAAAGCTCAAAAAGTACATTAAAACCTTTATAACGATGTTTTAATTACCAACTAACAAGAAAATATCTACTGAATCGCGACTAGCAGATACCCAGGTCTGTTCAGCACCTGTACTCTCCCCTAGGTCTGCTGAGGAACAGATCAATTCTGTTGGAGTTGACCTTGAAATTTAAAAAAACAAAACAAAACAAAACAAAAACAGCTTTAAAGATTTAAATTTCCTGAATAAAACAGAAAATAAAAATAACACTTCTGCACCTGTGAGTTCTCTTGACCCTAATTTATTTTTTGCTTTGGATGGTTCATAAAATATACATATATACCTTAACCGTGCTTTATATTATATACTAGTGATTGTTAATTCATTATTAACCTCACTCTACAGCTAAATTCTAACACTAATCATGGTGGCATCATTAGGACATTGTTCTAGGTGGTGCTTTTTTAACTGAAAAGAAAAACGGGGGATAGGTAATAAATAATTATGTAATCTAAAGAAAAAGTTTTAATTGTGTGAGTCCAGTAACGCGATCATCTAGCATGGAAAATATTTTCAGTAGTTCCAGGAAACTTCACATAAGAAACACTAAATAAATTCTAAGTTCAGTATATGAGTTAGAGACATTTCCAAAAGGAAAGCACACACAGTTGGTTGGGAGCGCCTGGATTTTCTCTAGCAAAAGACTCGTGGAATCCATGCTTTCGCCGCCACGTGACGAGGCACACGCGGACTGGGACATCGTCCTCCACCCTCCAGAACCAAACGCTACGCGAAACCACAGCGCCAGATTCCCACACTGGAAAATCCCTGAGCAAAGACTCACGTGACTCCTCCTCAGCCGCTTTCCCAAAACAAAACACATCAATCAAACGAACCCGATGAAATATACGAGATCGAAAGGAAAACAAGAGCCAGGCTTATCTCTTACAGGAACACTCCATAAATCTTACACTGAATTCACTCATCCTTCCACACAATCTGCTGATAAGAGGTAAATAATCAAGTGGAAATCACTCAAAGAAGCGCTTTCCTCCCCCAACAGACGCCGAAGTCTTTGCCGTGGCACTTATGGGGTGCTCTAACTTCTCAGCGCTGGCCGTCACCAACGCAGGCCGGCAGCACCCTGGAAAGGCCCAGGTCCCGCAGCTCTCCCTCCACGCGTGGCTACGGTGGAGGAACGAAGAGCAGCTGTGAGTTCGTGGGAAAGAAGGGCTATCTGGAATAATACGAGTCCGGGTGACATATGTAATTGTGAGTTTTTGTTTTCTCCGAACTGGCCTTATTATTATTAATTATTCCTTCAGCACCTACCGGGAAAGCGAGAAGAAAGCAAAGGGCATCACTCCCTACCCACGAAAGACTCACAACATCCCTGGAAAAGCAACGAGGCGAACGGCTGGTCTGCGTTCAGAGCTGGTGAGGAGCAGGGAGAAGAATCCAGAGCGTCCCCGCCTCCCTCCCTCACCGCCCTCCCGCACTGATGTGAACACGGGAGTAACACCGCGCGTGGGGAATCCACTGGCACCCAGAGCCCGGCCCGCGGCAGCAGAATCACCCAAGACTGAGATCCTGTGGCCTGAGTCGGGGCCGGGGAAACCAAGCCTGCAGGACTCCGGGAGCAGCCGGTTTCTGCACACAGGTAACATAGAACTGGGGGTAAGCAAAGCCACGAGGTCGGCCCGTGGCCTGTCTGCCCGTGGCCTGTCTGCCCGTGGCCTGTCTGCCCGTGGCCTGTCTGCGCACAGCTATTAAAAGTTCAATAAACGTGGTGGCAGCAGCTGAACTGGCTACCACAGGACGCAGCTGGGGTCTGGACGTGGGCCTGGGGGCTGGTGGAAGGCACGTGTGTTGAGGCGTGTACTCAGGGCCTGCCTACTTCCCCAGGCCTACGGGGACAGATGTAGCTCCCCAGGAAATACCACAGGCAGACCCCGGCCGGCAAGCTGCCCCAAGAAGCAGTGCGCCTCCCAAAATCAGAAGCAGCTAAGCTGACCCCCACCTCATGTGAAAGAGCCAGGCACCAGGGAGAGGGCACCCACCCAGTCTCCTAATCATAACAGACATTCACAGCAACACCACGAAAAAGAAACTACTGCTCTGACCTGGAAAAATGAAATTTAAAACAGAAAACACACAGGTTGTAACTAAAAGGCAGACGGACCAGGTGCGGTGGTTCATGCCTGTAATCCCAACACCTTGGAAGGCCGAGGCAGGCGGATGACATGAGGTCAGGAGTTCAAGACCAGCCTGGCCAGCATGGTGAAACCCCATCCCTACTAATAATACAAAAACTAGCCAGACGTGGTGGCAGGCACCTGTAATCCCAGCTACTCAGGACTGGGAGGAGGCGCAGGATGACGACGAGAGAGAGACGAGAGAGGCAGATGGCCCACGGCAGGCTGAGCACAGGACCTGGCTGAGGCCTCCTGGGGAGGGGCAGAGGCAAACATGCTGCTGCTTCTAGGCTACTCGGGAGGACGCACGCTCAGAAGGGGCTGCACGGCAGGACTTGCTGAGGAGCAGTCACGTGGATGCCCCCGCCTCTCACAACGCACACACTGACAACATGCAACTCACATACAACACAACATGCATGTACAATGTACTCATACAACATATACAACACTGACAACACACAACACACACAACACATGCAACCTATACAACACATACCCAATATATGCTACTCACAACACAATATGCATTTATAACACACTCATACAACACATACCCAATGCATGCAACTCACAACACAACACGTACGTACAACACATACACACATACAGCACACGTAACACATACAACACAACACACATGTACAATGCACTCATACAGCACACACAACTCATAACATGCACATACAACACACAACACTCATACAAAACAACATACACAACTCACAACATGCACATACAATGCACTCATACAACACAACACATACAACATACATGCAACTCACAACATACACATACAACACACTCATACAGCACATGTACAACACATGCAACTCACATTCAACACGACATACACGTACCACACACAACACACGCAACTCACAACACAACATGCATGTACAACACTCATACAACACAACACTCATACAACATACAGACAACACATGCAACTCACAACACAACATACACATACAACACACTCATACAACACACACAACACATGCAACTCACGCACAACACAACATGCACAACACAACATACAACATATACAACACAACACTCATACAACATATATGTGTATTGCATACACATAATACATGCAACTCACAACACAACATACACATACAACACACTCATACAACACATGCAACTCACAACACAATATGCACGTACAACACACTCATACAACATACAACATATAACACATACAACATACAACACATGCAACTCAACACAAATACATGTACAAGGCACTCACACAACACACAACACTGATACAACATACAACACATGGAACTCACAAACACGTACAGCACACTCATACAACATACAACCCATACAACATACAATACATGCAACTCATACAACATACACATACAACACTCATACAACACACATTCATACAACACAACACTCATACAACATACAAAACATACAACTCACAAATACATGTACAACACACTCATACAACACATAACACTCAAACATACAATGAATGCAACTCAACACAACATGCACATACAACACACATACAACCCATGCCACTCACATACAACACAACACGCTCATACAACACATTCATACAACACATACTGTACAGATTCTAAGTATGAAATAGAAAACAGCACATGCACAGTTTCTAAAGTATGACAAAAGCTTTTTTCAAGAAGGTCATCCAACATCCAAACTGGTAACATGTCCTCATTTTCAGCTGCTGTTCAGATTCAAGCATGTTTATCATCTGCTCCATGAATTACAATAATATAGCATAAACCCTTTTTTCATTTTACACCCACTTTGGTGTGGGGTGCTCCAAAACAGGGGCCAGGAGCCTCAGTCATCCCTCGGAACAAAACACAACTCACACTCAGAGGCCAGGAAGGGAACTCGGGGGGCGACACACACTCTCTCATCTGCAGAGCTCTGCTTCAATTACTTTACATGTAACCGCGGCTGGAACGGGGTTGGTGACGGTACAGACACGGCAAACTGAGGAGAAATTGGCAGGTGGAGAAAGATCAGCCAGAATCCAAGGAAAAATGCTGAGCATTTTCCACAAATAGTTCACACAACGGACAATAGTTGGGCTACTGAAAGTTTATTGAGAGGGGTCTTGCTCCAAAGAAAAAGTTCTTTCCCAAGGTTATCAAAGACTCACAGCAGACCCCGGCCCCCAACACACCATCTGCAGAGGGCCTGTTAGTCAAAAAGAAGACAAGACAGAAGCAAGGGGGTGCGGGGGGAGGAGAGCAAGAGGGGACCGAGAACTCGGAACCAAGTGATGGGCAGACACTGAATGCCTGACTCCAGGGTTATCGCCTCAGAAAACAAGTCCGTTTAAGCCCGTGGTAACAGTGTTAGCGCTTTCACTGAACCTGCACTCAACACTGGAGAACCTCCCTGCATTATGAAGATGAGCCGAAAAATAACATTAATTCACAATGTAGAGTGATGATTCAGCCACAGAAAATAAAACTGATATAATCCACTACAAGTCACACTGTGTCTTTCTTTAAGACTGGTTTATGATGCAGGTAAGAGGCAGCTTGACATCTAAAATACTTAAACTGGCAAACACCTTGTTTCCCTGAATTCTCACAACTGTGGCACCAGCTAGGGTAAGACCGAGTGGTTTTCAGAGCTTCCAGAACAGCAGAACAGATCAATCATAAATATGCAAAAGTGATCTGAAGACAGAATATTCCACGTTTCAGCTTAAACTAGTCATGTGATTTCCAATAAGTGGGAAACATTCATACCAATGTTTATAAGAAAGTTCAATGTAAACACACAGTACAGAACACTATCTTTGTTTTGGAATTTATTCATTTAATATGACAATTTCCATTGTTTTTAGGGATTCCTGATATCGAATGTTCATCTTTATTAATGATGAGCTACCCATTTTCTGACTGAGGAAACGGAAAGTTGTCACTGCCTAACAGCAATACTCAAAACAGCCTGTATGAAAGGAAAAGGCATATCTGTGCACACACACATGCATACACACACATCCACACGTGTACATATGCTCATACATGTACACGCATACACGTGTACACATATGCACGTGCGCACATGCATGAACATGTACACGTGTGTACATGTGTGCACATGTATGCACACATACGCACACGCATGCATGCACACGCATATGCACACACGTACATGCACATACACGCATGCATATACACACGTACACATGCACACACATACGCACATACATGCATATACACATGCACATGCGCACGCGTACATGCACATACATACACATACACACATGCACACACATGCATGTGTACACGCATACGTAAGTATCATCTCAGGTACGTGGATTCAAAATTCTGATGCAAACAAGAATAATCACAAAACAGGGTAGGGTGTCAACAAGTGAGAATTGAGATGGATGTTCTGGAATGTTCCAGAGACAACATAGGGGGACGGCTGCACATCACATTAACATCTTATCCATTTTAAACGTGACCATTCCTGCCAACATCGGCCTGGATTAAGATGATTTCATTTACATAAGGAACAGAAAATATAATACTTGTTCTAATGAGATTCTCTAATCATTAGATTATTTTCACAATTTTAAGTAATCACTAAATAACTTCCTTTCAAGGGTCTAAAAATATAAGATAACAAAAGAAAGTCACAGTCCTGACAGCTTTACCATGCAAATCACAGCTGTGAAAATGAAGCATGTTTTTGAGACTATGTCTTCCTCAAATATTCTTCATGGAATTTTGTACCAGTAATGGCTGGTAATTAATTGTTATACCAGGTGGAAAAGTATATCATTCAGGGTATATGAAGTAAACATGTAGAGAGAAATGACCACACACACCTGAAACCAGGTCTCATTTCAAAACCGTTTCCTACCTTGGATTTGCTTAATTTACTTCATGAGGTGCCTCCAGGAGAGGAAGCAGAGCTGGGATCTGCCCCGAGGCCGCTTCAGGAAGAGCTGGGTGGGCACCAAGCCCCTCAGACCGAGGGCTCCGCTACGTGGCTATGACCCCATCCCTGCGGCTCCCCGAGCGTGTGTCCCTGTGTGTCACGCAAACCCCTGCCACACAGGGGACACATGCCACACGCCTGACACAGGCTCAGCACACAGCGATCAGTAAGTGGTGACTAGAGAGAAGCGACGGCCTCCAGCGTGGACGGAGAAAACAGGCCACAGGCTCACAGACAGAGGAAACACCACAGATCCACAGACGGAGGAAACGCCACAGACGCACGGACGGAGGAAACGCCACAGACGCACGGACGGAGGAAACAGGCCACAGACGCACGGACGGAGGAAACGTCACAGACGCACGGACGGAGGAAACGTCACAGACGCACGGACGGAGGAAACAGACCACAGGCGCACGGACGGAGGAAACGCCACAGACGCACGGACGGAGGAAACAGGCCACAGACGCACGGACGGAGGAAACAGGCCACAGACGCACGGACGGAGGAAACGTCACAGACGCACGGACGGAGGAAACGTCACAGACGCACCGACGGAGGAAACGCCACAGACGCACGGACGGAGGAAACGTCACAGACGCACGGACGGAGGAAACGTCACAGACGCACCGACGGAGGAAACGCCACAGACGCACGGACGGAGGAAACGCCACAGACGCACGGACGGAGGAAACGTCACAGACGCACGGACGGAGGAAACGCCACAGACGCACGGACGGAGGAAACAGGCCACAGACGCACGGACGGAGGAAACGCCACAGACGCACGGAAGGAGGAAACAGGCCACAGACACACGGAAGGAGGAAACAGGCCATAGACACACGGACGGAGGAAAAGCCACAGACGCACGGAAGGAGGAAACAGGCCACAGACACACGGAAGGAGGAAACAGGCCACAGACACACGGAAGGAGGAAACAGGCCATAGACGCACGGACGGAGGAAAAGCCACAGACGCACGGAAGGAGGAAACAGGCCACAGACACACAGACGGAGGAAACGCCACAGACGCACGGACGGAGTAAACAGGCCACAGACGCACGGAGGGAGGAAACGTCATAGACACATGGACGGAGGAAACAGGCCACAGACGCATGGACGGAGGAAACACCACAGACACACGGACGAAAGAAACACCACCGACGCAGGGACGGAAGAAACACCACAGATGCACGGATGGAGGAAACGCGCCACAGAGGCACGCACGGAGAAAACAGGCCACACACGCACGCATGGAGAAAACGCCACAGACCCACGGACGAAGGAAACAGGCCAGAGACGCGCACACGCCAGTGTGGAACATCGGACAGGAACGTCCCGGCCATGCACTGTCCACTCCCACTAGGGACTCCCCGCCCCAGAGCACCCAGGATGGCTGTGGAGCTCCTGCCGCCCACCCCAGAGGCGAGGCTGGGGAGCCAGAGATGAGCAGGTTCACATCCATCAAATGCGGCTGCAATCCCTGTAATAACTGGAGGTCACCATTAAACAGAAGGGCACTTCACTTCGAATGAAAGCACTCTGCATAAAAGAACTAAAGATTGGCTGGCGACCGCTTAGAAACCATCACAATCATTCTTGTGAGTGATGGCGAAGCTTCAAGAGTGGTCACTTTTCCTGTAGAAATGCCACAGAGGTGATTCCTGGAACTCATTTAGAATATTTCTTTTCCAGAAACCACACAACCAAGAATTTAATAGTGCCGTCTCTTGACCAGAAACATAAAGATTTCTGATGAAACTAAACCCTGCCCAGCCTCCTGATTCTAGAAGGTGCTATACAGAAAAGCTAACTCGGAGGGGTTGCATTTCTTTTGTCATCCATGACACACATAAAAAAAAATTACATGTACAAAAAATGTAGGAATTGTACAGTGAATACCCATGTATCAACCCCCTGGATCACAGATTAGATTTTAAATGTAAAGTTCTAAAGGTTCCCAGCTAAGGAAATGTGCAGTGTAAGCCTGTACCTGGTTAGAACCAAGGGGGATGGAATGAGCTTTCCCCGGCCTTGCTGCTCAGCTGGGAGGGGCTGCCACAGCTCAGCCACCCCACCCCAGAGCACCCAGGATGGCTGTGGAGCTCCTGCCGCCCACCCCAGAGGTGAGGCTGGATCCCCAATCTTGGTGTTAAGAGTGAGCCAGCCTTTAGAGGCCACGTGGTCTATACTTGAATAGAAAATGTTCCAGGAAACCAAAGATTCCAATGCCTGCGATGAATTCCTAACCATTTGAAACCCAGTCTCCTCATCTGTACAAAGAGAGCAATGCTGTCTCCTGGGAAAGCATTTCAGAAGGACGAAAAAGGATCCACATGAGAGCGGCTGAAAACTAAAAGGCACCCTACAATTATAAGATTTTTTCTATATCTTTGTTTCAAGGAATGTCAGCATTCTAAATATTGCTCTTCATCCCACATCACCTTTCAGGAGCAAATCATAACAATCAAAACTATCAGCAGAATCCCCACCCGCTCAGTCGCCGTGTGCTGCTTCTCCCTGCATGAGAATTCCTGCAGAAGACGGGGCCATCCAAGAATGGCTCCCTGCCATCATGTGCCCATACTCCTTCCCCAGGGAGCTATTCCTGTACTCATGGGGCATGGGAAACCTGTATAACGCCACCAGAACGTCCTTGTTTGACTTACACACTTCCCAGAAGGGCTGATTTTATCCAGAATCCTAACTGTGTCAAACACTAAACCTAACCAGTCATCAAGAAAACAAGGAAATGCAAGGCCGTCTCCTGCCCCAGGTGCGTGGCTACTAGGGGCGAAACAGAAAATGAGGCATGAAAGGAAACTTTTAAGATATTGAGACCATCACTGGAGGATTCCAGGAACCCATTACAGATCATTGCTGTTCCTAATAACAGGAAATGAATTCTAAAATCCCAACAGGGACGGTGAGTCCCTCACTTGTATGGAAATCAAAATAATAATCCATCACTATCTTCAAAGAGACAAAAGAAAAACTCTACTTCCTTTTCATATTAATTTGTGTACAAGTAACTAAGTGAGAAAATCTTAATGTCTGGACTGTGATATCAGTAGCAAAATAACCCCAAGCACCCCAATTAAAAGATATAGACTGGCTGAGTGGATTTAAAAAAAGAAAAACCAACTCTATGCTGCCTACAAAAAACTCACTTCAGCTGTAAAGACACACATAGACTAAACATGAAGGATGGAAAAACATGTTTCACATTAATGGAAATCAAAAGTGAGCAAGAGTAGCTATATTTATTTCAGATTAATCACAATTTAAGTTAAAAACTGTAAAAAGGAGACAAAAAGGTAATTATATAATGATAAGGAGATCAACACAGCAAGAGGACATAACAATTACAAATATATGTGCACCCAACAACAAAGCACCCAGATATATAAAGCAAATATTAGTAGATCTAAATAGAGAGGCGGGGTGCAGTGCCTCACACCTGTAATCCCAGCACTTTGGGGGGCAGAGGCAGGTGGATCACCTGAGGTCAGGAGTTCAAGACCAGCCTGGCCAACATGGTAAAGCCCTGTGTCTACTAAATAGAAAAAATTAACCGAGCATGGTGGCACATGCCTGCAATCCCAGCTACTTGGGAGGCTGAGGCAGGAGAATCACTTGAACTTGGGAGGTGGAGGTTGCAATGAGTCGAGATTGCACCACTGCACTCCAGCCTAAGCAACAAAAGCAAAACTCCATCTCAAATATATATATATATATATAGAGAGAGAGAGAGAGAGAGAGAGAGAGAGAGAGAGAGAGACCAACACAACAATAGTAGGGGCTTCAAAACCCCACTTTCAGCACTGGAGATCATCTAGACAGAAAATAACAACAAAATATCGAATTTAAAGTACAGTATAGACCAAATGGACCTAACAGACATTTACAGAACATTTCATCCAACAGATACAAAATGCACATTCTTCTCCTCAGCACATGGAACATTCTCTAGAATCAATCACATGCTAGGCTACAAAATAAGTCTCAATACATTTTTTTAAAATTGAAATCACATCTAGGATATTCTCAGACTGTAACAGAATAAAGCTATAAATCAACAACAAGAACTTTCAAAACTGTATAAATACATAGAAATTAAACAATATGCCCTTGAATAGCCAGTGGGTCAATGAAGAAATTAAGAAGGAAATTTAAAAATTTATTGAAACAAATGAAAACAGAAACACAACATATCACAGCCTACGGTATAGAGCAAAAGCAGTATTAAGAGGAAAGTTTATAGCAATAAACTCCTACATTAAAAAAAAGATTTAAAATAAACAACCTAACAATGAACTGCAATGAGCTAGAAGAGCAAGAACAAATCAAATCCAAAAGTGGTAGGAGAAAAGAAATAACAAAGATCAAAGAGGAACTAAATAAAATTAAACTAAAAAATACAAAAGATGGGAAAAAATGTTGGTTTTTTGAAAAGATAAATAAAATAGACAAACCATTAGCTACACTAAGAAAAAAAAAGAAATCCCAAATAAGTAAAATTAGAAACAGAAAAAGAGAATTACAATTGATACCACAGAAATACAAGGGCTCACTGGAGACTATTATGAACAACTATATGTCAACAGAGTGGAAAACCTAGAGGAAATCGATAGATTCCTGGACGTGTACAACCTACCAAGACGGAACCAAGAAGAAACGGAAATCCTAAACAGACCAATAATGAGTAACATGTATGACTAAGTAATAATAAAAAGTCTCCCAACAAAGAAAACCTCAGGACTAGGTGGCTTCACAGCTGAATTCTACAAATTTTTATTTCAATTCTTCTCAAACTATTCCAAAAATATTGAAGAGGATGGAATTCTGCCAAGTTCATTCTTCAAGGCCAGCATTACCCTGATACCAAAGTAAGACAAGGACACAATAAAAAGAGAAAACTATAGGTCAATATCCCTGATGAACACAGATGCAAAAATCCTCAACGAAATACTAACAAACTGAATCCAACAGCAAATCAAAAATATTATACACCACGATCAAGTGGGATTTCTCCCAGGATGCAAGGATGGCTCAACAAACACAAACCAATAAACACGCTACATCACATCAACAGAATTAAGGACAAAAGCCATAGGATCATTTCAATAGATACAGAAAAAGCATTTGATAAAATTCAGCGCTGCTTCATGATAAAAACTCTCAACAAACTAGGCACTGAAGGAAACATACCTCAACACAATAAAGGCCATATGTGACAAACCCACAGCTAACATAATACTGAACGGGGAAACACTAAGCTTTTTCTCTGAGATCTGTAGCAAGACAAGGACGCCCACTTGTACCACTCCTATTCAACACAGTACTGAAAGTCCTAGTCAAGAGCAATCAGGCAAGAGAAAGAAATCAAGGGCACCCAAAGTGGAAAGGAGGAGCTCTAATTGTCTGTTTTCAGACAATATGCTCTTATATATTAAAAAAAAAAAAGACTCCAGCAAAAATCTCTTTGAACTGATAAACAAATTCAGTAAACTTACAGAATACAAAATGAACATATAAAAATCAGTAGCATTTCTATAGACCAACAATGAGCCAGTGGAAAAAGAAATCAAGAAAGCAATCCCATTTAGCTACAAAAATATAAAATAAAAATAAAAATACCTCAGAAGAAATCTAACCAAGAGGGTTAAAGATCTCTATGAGGAAAATAATATTCTACCCTCTGAGGGTAGAATAGTGGATTCTAGAGACAGGAAAGGGTGGCGGGAAGGGAGAAAGGGAGAGGTTAACTAATGGATACAAAATTACATCTAGATAGGAAAAATGAGGTTTAGTGTTCTATAGCCTTGTAGGGTGACTATAGTTTACAACTTATTGTATATTTTCAAGCAGCTAGAAGAGAGGATTTTGAAGATTCCCACCATTAAGAAATAACAAATGTTTGAGATGATGGACATGCTAATTACCCTGACTTGCTAATTACACATGACAAACATGTATTGAAATATCACGCTGTATCCCATAGATATGTACTATAATGTGTCCATTAAAAAGAATAATTGTTAAAAACCCAAGTGCTATTTCTCATTTGTCCTATGTCAATGTTGTGGTCCATTGGTGGAGACCTAACCACTTGCAAGGAAGACTATAGTCACTTGAGCTGAAAGCAAATGAATCACCACAAAAACTACCACTGGCACCAAGTCTTGTTTCCAGAATTTCCTGCCCACAGCACTGCCACAGTCACTGTGGGCAGGAAAGACACACTAGCCACCAAGTTTCAACCCCAGCACAATTGAAGCCTTTATTTCTCTGGTTTGGAATAGGTGTGTGTTCATAACTTACATTTACTCCAACTGCCCCCTTGCTTAAATAGCTCCTTAAGGATGACTTCCTGTTACTAAATCCCAACAGCTTCTGAGTATCCATTATATTCTCCAAAGTAAATAAAAAGAGAAAATGTGTTGAAAGCCTGATAATGTTCACTTAAGAATCCAGCATGATGTACTGCTTGAAACGGACACTCCACCTTGTTCCTTTATGTTACTTTTAAAGTAGTCCCAGTTATTATACATAGTTGAAGCCATAATTTCTGCAATACCATTAGGTCCACAAAGGGTGGGGCCAGGGAACTTCAAAGTCTGTCTCTGATTTTTTTATTTAAAAAGGAAAGCTTATGAGAGTAGGTAATGAAAATAAATATTCACACAACTCGGAACAGGGGATGGTGAAACATAAAGCCCCAGCCTGGCCAGGTGTCCAGCCAGTGAGGGTGGAGACCCAGACTCATACAGTCCCCACAATCCCCCAGAAGTGCCACAGACAGGTGGGTGGCCTGAGACAGAGCCAGGCTCCGAATTCCAGGAGCTGTCTGGCTCATGTGCACCCGGCGTGGTCCAGTGCATGAGGATGCCCCACGTCACCAGTCCCAGTGCAGAGCACAAGAATGCCCATGTCATGAGCCCCCGCTGCAGAGCATAGCCCGAAGGTGCCAGCCCAGCCTCCTGCACACACTGGCCACCAAGGCACTGCCCTCCAGGAAGGAGGACCTCAGAGGTCGTGGCAGGGTGAGGTCCTGCTCTTCATCATCCCCGAGCAGTGGGGAAAGTCCCAGCAGACATTTGGGGAGTCCCTACAGGTGGCTCTGGAACTCTGAGTGGAAGTTTAAAGATGTCCCCAGATACACCAGACTCAAACCTAAAACAGGCCATTCTTCCAGATATGCCCAGACTGGAACCTATATAGGCCATCCTTCCCAGCTTTCCTCTGGAAAAGCAGGCTTAAAAGAGTATCGACTAAAAGGGGCCACCAGGAAGAGAGAAGTCCTATCTTTAAAAAAAGAAAGAATTTTTTAAAAAAGAGGCACTGAGGCTCTGACCCATCTGAGCACAGAGTACGTGTTCGGCAGCATCTGTCAGAGCAGAGGAAGCACACACGCACTCTCCATACCCTGTGCTCCCAGCACCCGTCCTCCCCGCACCCAAGCTCCCCACACCCGTGCTCCCCGCGCCCATCTCTGCTCCCCATGCCCATGCTCCCCACGCCCGTCCTCCCTGCAGCCATGCTCCCCACACTCGTGATCCCCGTGCCCATCTCTGCTCCCCATGTCCATGCTCCCCGCACCTGTCCTCCCTGTGCCCAGCTCCCCACGCCCATGCTCCCCACACCCGTTCTCCCCACGCCCATGCTCCCCACACCCGTGCTCCCCGCGCCCATCTCTGCTCCCCATGTCCATGCTCCCCGCACCTGTCCTCCCTGCGCCCATGCTCCCCACGCCCATGCTCCCCGCGCCCATGCTCCCCACACCCGTGCTCCCCGCACCCATCTCTGCTCCCCACGCCCATGCTCCCCGCACCCATCCTCCCCCCACCCATGCTCCCCGCGCCCATGCTCCCCGCACCCATGCTCCCCACACCCGTCCTCCCCGCGCCCATGCTCCTCACACCCGTGCTCCCCGCGCCCATCTCTGCTCCCCATGTCCATGCTCCCCGCACCTGTCCTCCCCGCGCCCATGCTCCCCACACCCGTCCTCCCCGCGCCCATGCTCCCCACACCCGTGCTCCCCGCACCCATCTCTGCTCCCCACGCCCATGCTCCCCGCACCCATCCTCCCTGCGCCCATGCTCCCCGCATCCGTCCTCCCCGCGCCCATGCTCCCCACACCCAGGCTCCCCGCGCCCATCTCTACTCCCCACACCCAGGCTCCCCGCGCCCGTCCTCCCCACACCCCTGCTCCCCGCACCCGTGCTCCCTGTGCCCATCTCTGCTCCCCACGCCCAGGCTCCCCGCACCCATCCTCCCTGCGCCCATGCTCCCCACACCCATCCTCTTCGCGCCCATGCTCCCCGCATCCGTCCTCCCCGCGCCCATGCTCCCCACACCCAGGCTCCCCGCGCCCATCTGTACTCCCCACACCCAGGCTCCCTGCACCCGTCCTCCCCACACCCCTGCTCCCCACACCCCTGCTCCCCACACCCGTGCTCCCCACGCCCATGCTCCCCACGCCCATGCTCCCCGCACCCATCCTCCCCGCACCCATCCTCCCCCCACCCATGCTCCCCACACCTGTGCTCCCTGCACCCATCTGTGCTCCCTATGCCCATGCTCCCCACACCCGTGCTCCCCGCACTCGTCCTCCCCATACCCATGCTCCCCACACATATCTGTGCTCCCCATGCCCATGCTCCCTGCATCCGTCCTCCCCACGCCCATCTGTGCTCCCCATGCCCATGATCCCCGCACCCGTGCTCCCCGCACTGCGTTCCCTGCGCCCATATCTGCTCCTCGAGCTCCCTTCCACAGATTTCCTCTGTACGCCCTTCTTGATAGTCACTGTCACCTGGAATCGCCTGGATAAATGGAGGTAAAGAAAATAAATGGAGGACCACATTGGAGGACAGAGTGGAAGCGGCTATTTACCAAGCAGGGCTGTGAGATGAGCGCATCTGATCCACATTAATCCTGACAGTCGGTTTATTAGCCCCATTCAACAGCTGGGGACACTGAGGTGGGGAGGGATGGGCTTGCTTACCCTGGACGATGCTGACAGTGTGGGCCCAGCCCGGTCCCACAGCCACCAGGAGGAGGCTCCTGAGCAGGCAGGCACAGAAGTGCAGCCCAGAGAACGCTTGGGACCCTGGCACAGACTCCTCAGGAAGGAAGCAGAGAAAGGCCCACAGAGACTCAAGCAGCACAGAAGAAGGTCACCCACAAGTTAAAAATAGATGTTTGTGCTTTACCGTCCCAGCATGCTAAAAATCCAACCCGCTCACACGCACGGCCTGACATGAGCCCGGCCTCCTGCAGCACTGGGCCAAGCGAGAGATGCACCTGCCCCTCTCCCAACAATGGCAGGCTCGGCAGCTGCTCTTCAATGTACTTGACACCCTTCCATGAGGATTAAGCTACACTGTCCGCACTGGGTAATTTTAATCCTGACACAGCTAACCGTGTGGATCTGCAGCACAACAAACAACCTGCTTAGGATGATTCTATCACTGACAAAGACGCTGAATCTCCCAGCAAAGCCCAGTGACGTTTCTGTTTTCATTTCAGGTAAACTGGCCCACACGGTCTAGTTTACCTGCTGATAATTCCTTGGAAAGACCATCAGGGGAGATCCACACCATTTTCAGCTTTACAGGGATGTGAATTTCCATGCGATGAGAAAGGGAATGGGGAAATAAAACAAGGATTCAAAACAGATTGTTCTGAATTGTTTTGCCTGTGTGCTTCCTGGGAGTGGTAAAGTCAAGAACTGCCGCTCTGTGTCAGGCGAGGGAGTAATAGAGACAATGGCACCAACTCCTGAGACAGAGGACCTGACACATGGTGCAGCCACCGCCTGTGGCCACGGAAATTCCAGGGAATGCAGACCCCAGTTGCCTGGTGCAGCCACCGCCTGTGGCCACGGAAATTCCAGGGAATGCAGACCCCAGTTGCATGGTGCAGCCACCGCCTGCGGCCACGGAAATTCCAAGGAATGCAGGCCCCAGTTGCATGGTACAGCTACCGCCTGTGGCCACGGAAATTCCAGGGAATGCAGGCCCCAGTTGCATGGTACAGCCACCATCTATGGCCACAGAAATTCCGAGGAATGCAGACCCTCAGTCCCATGGTGCAGCCACCACCTGTGGCCACAGAAATTCCAGGGAATGCAGCCCCTCAGCTACATGGTACAGCCACCATCTATGGCCACGGATATTGGGAAACACAGACCGCAGTCACATGGTGCAGCCACCACCTATGGCCATGGAAATTCCAGGGAACACAGACCCTCAGTCACATGGTATGGCCACCGCCTGTGGCCACAGAAATTCCAGGGAATGCAGACCCTCAGTCACATGGTACAGCCACCATCTATGGCCACAGAAATTCCGAGGAATGCAGACCCTCAGTCACATGGTGCAGCCACCATCTATGGCCACAGAAATTCCAGGGAACATAGACCCCAGTCCCATGGTGCAGCCACCACCTGCGGCCACAGAAATTCCAGGGAATGCAGCCCCTCAGTTACATGGTACAGCCACCACCTATGGCCACGGAAATTCCAGGGAACACAGACCCTTAGTCACATGGTACAGCCACCATCTATGGCCACGGAAATTCCAGGGAACACAGACCCTCAGTCACATGGTACAGCCACCATCTACGGCCACGGAAATTCCAGGGAATGCAGACCCCAGTCTCTAAAGTGTTATTTGTTTTATGAACTTCACTGCAGTGATTGTGGAAGAGTTTCTCTCTGTGCAGAGCTCAGCATCCAGAAGGGAAGTTGGCCCCAGGAACGCCTTCCTCCTCTTCAGAGCTCAGGGCCCAGGGCTAAGGCCCTTGGGAGAGGTCCCTGTTCGGCAACTGTGCCTGTGGAGGGCCCCCCAACACTCACCGTGTATCTCCTAGGAGCAGAGGCTGCAACAGGGACCCAGAGACCAAGCCTCTGCTCAGGCAACAGTGAGCTGATGGCCTTCCACTCTAAGTTCCAACTGCATGGAGTGTGTATTCCATGAATGCTTGTTAAATGAATGATTCACATAATAAGGTCTTCTGTGCTGACCTTTGCTGGTCTGCTGACCATGGGCTTCAGAGCATAGACCTCATTCCTGGAGCAACCAGCTCTTCCCAGAGCAACGGCCGCTGGAGGACAAAGGCCAGGGCTTCTTCCTGCAGCAACGCACTCAGGACCCTGCGCTGGGCACACTGGGGCCTCTCCAGCAGAAGATCCCCAGCCCTGACCTTGCAACACCAGTGAACCCCAGGGGAGCCCCAAGTGCTCAAAATCAAGTAAATGTCCATTGTGATTTAACATACCAATTTTAGAAGAAAGGGCAGATTGCCACCTCCCTCCTCAAACTAGGGACCATAAATCGATACAAGGCCTTAACTGAGGCTCTGCCTTAAATCCTGCTAAAACTACCAGCCAAACACCCAAATTTACATTAAAGTTAAAGGAAAAAAAAAAACTAAACCAAACACCTGTAAGAAATGGTCAAGTAAACTGTGATACATCAACCCAAAGATTAAACATTAAAACGATGAAGTAGCAAGATATTAAAAGAATACAAACTCTATGTACGTCATGGCTCAAGGGTTCTAAAATTACACAGAGACAAAGACTGGAATGGAAGGGGGATATGTTTACAGATACATTTTTTATTTTTTAATTTTTAATGGTATATTACTTCTCTAATATATGATTTGACTAACCAGATAATTCAGCAAAAAAAAAAAATCAATCGTGCCTATAGATAAATATGTAAAGAATCCCTCTCTCTGATGCCAATGGAATTAGTTTGGGTCCGGCCCACAGTCTTCAATCTTTGAATTAAGACACAAAAACCATCTTCCAAGCTATTAGCGAAACAAAAAATGATTTAAAACCAGGAGCCCAAAAGAAAAGACCTACCATCAGTCACAGCATCTCTCCACGCCTCTCTACCCTGGACAGTGTTCCTTCTTTCCCCATTTTCATACCTACTGCACAAAGCACTTAGTAAAAAGTTATCTCAATTCATGAGTCGCGCAGCACAAAGGGCCGATGTCACTACCAACATACCCCGCAGCCCAAAACCGAAGCAGCAACCCCCAGCGAAGGGAAAATGAGAGGCTGCTGGTTGTAATTGTAAATCTCACAACTCAATGTCTTAGCACTTTCCTGCCTTGTTGCTTTCAAGGGCTTATTAAAATTAACTCCCCTACTGGATATTGAAGAAAGAAGGCAGGACGGTTGTGCAGGCTCCGAAGAGGCGGAGCCCTCGTTCCGCAGCCACCGCTGTCTTTCTACCCACAGCAGCCGGGTTTACCAATTAGTCTCCCTTAAAGGGCACTGTTTATGATCATCACCAACAAATGGATGCAATTACTTCTTTTGAGATGTAGCAAGTTTTTGGCACAATAGTCATAAACCCTGCATGGCACACACACAGAAGGAAGATTAAAGCCCTGGAGGTGGAGGCGTTCGGGAAGGGAAGGTGGAAGCAGGAAGGACACCCACAAGATAGAGTGGTCAGAAACCGACCACGTCACCAAAGGGCGCCATAGACGTTCCAGAGGACAAAATGCCCGTCTTTCCAGGGTAAACACCCATTTGCCAAACAGCCAGTGACGGCAAGCAGGAGTTTGCTTTTTTAAAGGCGTCTGAGTAACGATGAGAAGAGCAAGAAATGAGCTTAATAATGGGACTGACGGGGCCCTGGGCTGGTGACTCAGCCAATGTGCACAGCATCAAAACCCAGGTTCCTCAGTGCGCTCCCTCTGCAGTTCAGGAGAGCGCTACAACTCACCCCATAAATCACTGATTAAAAAAAATCAGTTCTAAAAAAAGAGACGACCCATTTGAAAGCAGCTGGGAGGAGGAAGACAGTGACTCACAGAATCCAACCGCTTGTAGCCTCGGAACCATAACAAGAATATGAAACTAGCAAGTCCAGTGTGAGGCAGAACAGAGACGCCGTCATGGCTCTCAGGAGGCTGAGCGGGAAGCGCGTGGCTCGGGCCCCTAACGGCACCTGGAGCAGCCTATGGGCCTGTGCCCTTCATGTGGGTTCGCTTTCCTAGCTTCCTGGCTAAATTTGATGTATAGCATTTATTCGCCAAGAAAAGAACATTCAAATCAAACTATTGTCATAACTCTGAAGGACTCTTAACATTCCAGTCCACACGTTCAAAAGCCCACACATATCAGTGCTGCCACTGTGCAGGTCACAATGTTTTCAATGCATCTTGCACGCAACCAGTAATGATGTTTTCAATGCATCATGCAGGTAGCCATCTCATTCAGGATACTTAAATATCTGTGACGACTTGATACTTAGTTATCTGTGACTTTCAGATAGATGTAACAACGCTACCTGGCCAAGAAGTCCTCACCCTCCTGAACCCACTGACCCTCCTACCCTCCTCTCAGTTACAACAAACTGTCCGTGAGGCTCAATGAAGCTCAGCTTTCCCACGTTTGTTTTTTCAGAGTAAACTATTTCTTTTCAATGAAAATAATGTGTACAGAGTCCTCAGGACCTTCTCTTAGGCTCTGGAAGGTGGTCCCCTGGTCAGCTCTTACACAGGCGTGTGACTTCCTCACTGTGCAGGGTGGAACCTCCAAGAAATGCACAGGGCTGGGGGTGCCGAGGGCAGAACTCCATTCCAAAGCCACAAATATCTGTGACCTTGTGCCAAGTGTCCTGAAAAAGCCACCCCCAAAACCTACAAACCTCCCACTGGGCCATCATTTTAGGATCCCCTCTTTGGCGACAGCAACGTGCAGGCTGTGTGAAGACCATGTCTCTGTACTTGACACGTATTCATATGTGCTAACAGTAACACACACAGCCAGGCACGGTGGCTCACGCCTGTAATCCCAACACTTTGGGAGGCTGAGGCAGGGGGATCACCTGAGGTCAGGAGTTCGAGACCAGCCTGGCCAACATGGTGAAACCCCATCTCTACTAAAAATACAAAAAATTAGCCGGGTGTGGTGGCGGGCACCTGTAGTCCCAGCTACTTGAGAGGCTGAGGCAGGAGAATCACTTGAACCCAGGAGGCGAAGGTTGCAATTAGCCGAGATTGCACCACTGCACCCCAGCCTGGGCAACAAGAGTGAAACTTGGTCCCCAAAAAAAAAAAAAAAAAAAAAAAAAAATATATATATATATATATATATATACATATATATATATATATATATAAACACACGCACACAGGTCCCTCAACCAACACAGGAAGACCTGGCACGTGCGCGAGCCTTCACCTCCCTCTGCAAGCAGGTTCTCCCCTGCTGAAAAAACATTAGGCTGCACTACTGTGGAGCATAACTGCTCGCTGAAGGAATCGGCTACATTAACTAGCAGAGCAGAGCATGGAGGATGGAGTCAGTGGGCATGGAACACGCTGACAATTACCAAAGCCACAGAGTACAAAGCATGGCACCTATTTTTCAAAACTTCTCTTCCACCAAAAACCAACAATTTTTGCAGGCTATATTATGAGTTCTATCAAAATAATTCAGCACCTCCTAAACAAATGGGAAAGAGCTCCTTCTGAAGCATGCACTGCCCAAAAAGATCAGTGACCAGTCAACAGAGAAACTTACTTCCTAATTTGAATCAACAGCTAAATGCAATCTTTTTTAAAATAATAATAATAATAATAAGACATGAGTCTGGGCACAGTGGCTCATGCCTGTAATCCCAGCACTTTGGGAGGTCGAGGCGGGCGGATCACCTGAGGTAAAGAGTTCGAGACCAGCCTAGCCAACATGATGAAACCCCATCTCTACAAAGGTACAAAAATTAGCCAGGTATTGTGGCGGGCACCTGTAATCCCAGCTACTCAAGAAGCTGAGGCATGAGAACCACTTGAACTCAGGAGGCGGAGGTTGCAGTGAGTTGAGCTCATACCACTGCACTCCAGCATGGGAGACAGAGTGAGACCGTCTCAAAAATTAAAAAATAAATAAGACATGAGTTTGTCTTTATGGGGAAGTTTTCTGCTTCCACTCCAATTTGTTTGGCAATTCCATGTAAAGTATCAGTTATTAATGAAATTATTTTTAGGCCCTTTAAAGCCACAAAAAAGAATACCCAATTATAAAGGGCAAAAATGTAGGGAAGAGAAGGGAGAAGAAAATATTCTGGGGAAAGGAGTATGAGAAAGCAGCCGCCACAGCCCTCTCATTCCTTGACCCTCCCCAGAATGGAGCTCCAGATCACCTGGAGGCCTCCCCACCCTCATGGCCTCCTCACCTGCAGGGCCTCCTCAGCCACAGGGCCTCCGCACCCTCACGGCCTCTCCACCTGCGGGGCCTCTCCACTAGCACAGCCTTCCCCCCACGTGGTCTCCCCACCTGCACAGCCTCCTCACCCGAGGGGCCTCCGCACCCTCATGGCCTCCCCACCTGCACAGCCTCCGCACCCACACAGCCTCCCCACCCGCACAACCTCCCCACCCACACAGCCTCCTGACCGTGTGGCCTCCTTACCTGCATGGCCTCCTCCCTGGCTCACACTCAGACCCAAGTATGTGAGGAGATGACCCCCCTGGCCACACAACCTGAATGTATCCCCACATGGATTCGAGGCCATCAGCTCCCACAAGAGGGCTGCCCAGCACTTCTCCCCACAGAGAGCCCTTGTGTTTTGCTGGCCGCATGCTCTGTGGTGTGAGCTGGCCTCACCTTCCCCTGTGAGGGGGCACAGGGCACGGGACAGGGACAGGCAGTGGAAGAAGGATGGAGCCCTCGGCCCCGCAGCAGGAAGTGCCCCTGCAGCCCTGCAAAGCAGGACACCAGCAGTGCATGTAATGGCGCCCAGCAGGCGGGCACAGCAGAACTGGACCAGGGTCTAGAAACCCACACAATGCGTAACCCACGCAGGCTGGCAGCCCACACAGGAACCTCAGGGGAATGCTCTACTCTTTCCTTCAGTCTATGTTATGTGCTTAAAACGGAACTTTTTCCATCCTCCTCTGTAGGAAATGAGCACTGGAAATTCCACATATGTTTCTATAATATTTTCTGATATTTTAATAAAATGATGACAACCAACTTAAAGAATTCTCTCCACTTGAATTTTGATTGAAGATGGGAAATAATTCAGCATTAACAGCTGTTTTCAGCTTTCACTCTGAAAGCAGATACATTGAGGAATTTTTGAAGTCCAATAACATAAAGAAACACAGAATTTTGATCCTTCAATTCTTGGATTTCTATTAAGCAATACTGGAAAACAAGTTGATTCATCTAATTTAAGCCTGTAAAACTGTTTTATGTGGTTATGAGACAGAGAATTCCAAATGACCTTACAGCACTACCCCCATAAACTCAACCTGGGCAAACCCACACTTCACAGCAAAGTTAAAGACCATCCAGCAAACAGATGAGGCAGTGGGGCCAGCACAGGCCGGAGGGTGCAGAGAGGCTGAATAGAGCCACGGAGCAACCCTCTCACCCTTTCTTCTTAAATGTGTAGCTCAGATCTCAGCAAGATTCATGTGGAAGGAAAAATATAATTAGGCTTCCTGCATGCAAACACACACACCCCTTTCTCTGCCTGGTCTCTCAATAAGAAACTAACTCATTAAGCCCTTTTTAAAAAACCTGTACAGACGCAAGGTGTTCACAGGGAATTCGGCTGAGCACACCTTCGTCGAAAGTGGCTTTGCCATCATCTGGGCAGCAAGACAGTATCACTCACCCTCCAAGAGCAACTGACAGGCAAGTGTCGTCACCTCAAAAGGCCACAATGCCCAACACAGGACACCCATTCCCATAGACATCCCAGACTCTGGGAACAAATGTGGGTCCAACTTCTGGGCTAGCAGTGGGTGGGGGAACCCTCAGATGGGGCTCGCCCTGCTGAGCTCAGGGGCGCTACGCTCTGCTGACCTGGATGGGGCACTGACACTTCACATCAGTGTGATGCAGGCAGCACAGAAGCCCCTGTCCTGAGACAGCGAACACGGAGGGTGCTGCAGGCAGGGGTGCACCTGGGCCGAGACGCAAGCCGGGAAACCTACCCAAGGCTGACACAATCAGATAACCAGGGTGGGCCTTTTGCAAATGATACACTCCTTACCCACCAAACGAGCTGTCTGCACTGCACAATCTACTTACCAGTTTACATCCGAACCCTGCACACGGCAGCTCCCGCCTCCTAGCCATGCCCTCCTCATCCTCAGCTCCTCAGGAGGGCAGCAGCCAAGCCCACAGGCCTGGAAGACTCTGCCCCCCGCCAACTGTGTCACGTTACAGGACACTGACACACCTCGCGGAACCCCACATCTGAA
The DNA here is from genome assembly GCF_000001405.40 of Homo sapiens. Taxonomy (NCBI): domain Eukaryota; kingdom Metazoa; phylum Chordata; class Mammalia; order Primates; family Hominidae; genus Homo; species Homo sapiens. The sequence goes on from NC_000010.11 coordinate 688,306, forward strand.
ACTGAAAAACAGTACCATTTCCCGTCCCCAGAAGTCTGGAAAGGCAGTTGGCTGCACACCATGGCCCCTGCTCACTCCCTTCTTTGCCCTGAAAGTGTTAAAAAGGAAAACATAAAGTCAACACCAGCTCCTCCCTGCCGGTGAAAATTGGCACGAATGAGTTTACTTTCTGGCTGCCGGCCCTCACAAAACCGTTACCCAAAAAAAGTTCACCATGCTAAACTGCTCCAAATATAAATGTGAGACGCGCCGGCCCACCCCCACCCCACCCCACGTTACAGGAATGGCCTGACCAGGATGAGCCCAGAGACGGCTAAATGCACATCAAACATTTCAGATTTGGGAACTTCAGTGGTTTTGGGGAAAAGACCTGGCAAAGCCCGATCTGAAACTTATGACAGTTGAGCACATGATCTCCGCCATGAAGAGCAAATAAGAGGCGTACACAACCCTCCATAAGACCGCGGTGGCTGATCTGCCACAAACCCTCCTACGAGAGGACCAGGACGGCAAGGCCGGAGCCCGGCCCGGGGGGAGGTTGACGATTCCGCCCAGCCCTCCCCGCGCAGCGCCCGCGAACAATGGGGGTGGGATCCCCCGGGCCGCGCCAGGACCGCTGCACGGCCTGAGCCACCAGAGATCGAACCCGGGGTCCAACGACAAGTTTCGCATTGAAATCTGGCCGGGCGTTCCAGGCCGAACCCGCCAGCGAGGAGGTGGCGCGCACCGCGCTGCTGCACCAAGGACGCCGCGGCTCCAGCGCAGAGCGCACGGGAAGGCCGATCCCGCCGGGCCCGCTGCATCCTGCGTCCCCGCGCGGCGCCCAGGCCCCACAGACACCCCCAGGGCGCGGGGGGATCGCGGCCCCACAAACATCCCAGGGCGCGGGGGATCGCGGCCCCACAAACACCCCCAGAGCGCGAGGGGATCCCAGGCCCCACAGACACCCCCAGGGCGCGGGGAATCGCGGCCCCACAAACGTCCCCAGAGCGCGGGGGATCGCGGCCTCACAAACGTCCCTAGGGCGCGGGGTCTGGGGGTCCGGGGGACGCGCACGCTCCGGGCTGGGGTCGCACCTCCCCCTCCGGGCCCGGCCCCCGCCCCGCCGCAGGCCCCGCGCCCCCAGCCCTCCGCGCGCGGCCCTCCCCGGTGACAGCGCGGCCCGGCCCGGGGCGGGGGCCCGGTTACCTTCCGACAGCTCCAGCTCCAGCTCGGCCAGGCGCGCCCGCACCTCCAGGGGCAGCGCCATGCCCTCCAGGCTGCGGTCCGCCATGCTCCGCGGGCGCCGCGCCCCGCACGGCCTCCTCTTTGTTCGCAGGCGGAGGTCTCGGCGGCTCCTCGCGCCCGGCGGAACCGCACCGAGGAGGAGGCGGCGGCGCGGGCGCGGGAGGCGGGCGGCGGGCGCGCAGGGACCTCCCTCCCCTCGGCGCCTCCTCAGCGCGGCCCCGCCACGGCCGCCTCGCGCGCCCCCGCGCCCCACGGTCCCCGGCCCGCCCCGCGCGCGCTCGGCCCCTCCCCGCAGGCGCTGCGGACCCGGACCCGGCCCTGCTGCTCTCGGCCCCGGCCCGGCGGGAGCGTCTCTGCGCGCGCGCGTCACGGGGCCGCGGGGGCAGGGCGCGCGCGCGCGGGGCGCGAGGACGCGCAGGAGCGGGAGCGCGCGGGGGGGCGCGCGGCCGCGTCGGCGAAGCGCGCGCTCCCGGGGGCGCGCTCGGGGGCGGGTTGGGGGCTCGGGGCCCGCGGGGCGGGGCGGGGCGGGGCGGTCTTGTCTGTCCTGGGCTCTGCGCGTCCAGCGGAGCCTGCGGGCCCGGCCCCAGAGCCTGGTCCACCCGGCTCCCTGCGAAAATCACGTCCTGGAGCCGCAGCTTGACGTCTGCGCGAAAACTCGCAGTGCCCCGGGTCTTGGAGGGCTGGTTTTTTGTTAATGAACATTTTAAGAGGCGGAGACGGAGCGCTAGGCTGGAAGTTTCGAATGCAACGACCAGCAGATGACCTTGAGCGACTCTGAGCCTTTGCCTGGAGGGTCAGTGTCCCCATCTGTGAAAAGGGGATGGGAAGACAAGGTTGGGTCACCTAATCTCCAAATGCCAGGTGGGCCCGAAAAGCCTGGCTCCAGCCCTCCCGGAACAGGCTGCAGGCCCCAGGGTTCCCACCGTCCTTCTCCTTGTGGGGCCATCAGCTCCCAGCCTCAGTGCCACCTCGGCGAGGCTGAAGCCCCGTCTGTGCCTCTAGTCCTGACCATCTGGGGAGGCCCTCGCATCTCCAACCGTCCACTGAGCAAACTTCCCTGGAAGCCCCTAGACACCCCAAACGCCACAAACCCTAAATGAAGCCAGCTGCTTCCAGTGACTCTTAGTCACTGGAAGTTCTGCTTCTCAGAACCGCCCCCGTTGTCTTCATCATCACCTTCCTCTGTCTCCACACATCCTCCCCAGTCTGTTGCACAAAGCCCCGACGACCTGGCCTCCTTTTCATCCTTGTACCCCCTCTTCCCAGCCCGGCCCCTCCCTTAGGCCCAGAGCTTCCTAAAGACCTCCTCGCCTCCCCGTCCTCCACGGGACATTGGCCAGCGCTGGCTCCCGGAGGCCCAGCTGCACTCACTCCCCTTTCAGAGTGGGCCGCAGGAACACAGGTCCCCCACCTCACCCCCCTACCCCTACCCCCCACCACCCCCCCACCCCGCTTCGACCGGAGCCCCCACCAGCCGGGACCCACCTGCACGGCAGCCTTGCGGCCTCCACACTCCGGCTCCTGCAAACAACGCGGCTGACCCGCAGCACCTCTGCTCCCGGCCTCCACCCCGGAGAGCCTGCCCCTTCTCTGCCCCTGCCACCCACAGCCATCCCTGACCCCAGGTCCAGAACAATCTCTCTCCTTTCTCTTCCTGCACCGGCCACTTCCCGCCCTCATCACGTTTGACCTTTTTTATCTTCTCTGTATTCTTTGTGAGTGTAAGCGCCTGGAGGACAGAGCCCATGCCTCACCCACCTTTGCCCTTCCCATGGATCTAGCAGTGGTGGCAACCGCCAGAGGTGTGTGCATTTCCTGTAAGGATCGGTCCTTTCAGTGGGGAATTGTGAGAATGACATTCGACGATGAGCTGGGAAACAGGAACCCCAAACCCGTGTGCTTCCTGCGCCGAGCCGTGTGCCTCCGCCTGGTGTGCGCCGTGGGTTCGTCCTTCGCTCCAGACTGCGTTCAATGCAACAGATACGGGTGGCACAAGCATGTGGCCCCACCATCATCTCTCCCCTTTGCATGATAAAGAGACCGACCAGCAATGCAGGGGCCGTGGGGAAGATCCCACACAGCCCCTACACGTCACAGATAAAAGTCCTTAGAGACAGAAAGGGGAGCAGAACCAGGATTCAAACCCCAGTCTCCAAAGCAAAGCCCTGAGTTCATTTCATTACAGCAAAGATGCACTGTGCATTCCAAGCAATAAATGGTGTCAAGTCCATTTAGGGCGGTATAATGTCGGAATAAAAAATATATATTCGCGGGCCAGGCACGGTGGCTCACACCTGTAATCCCAACACTTTGGGAGGCCAAGGCAGGTGGATCATGAGGTCAGGAGTTCAAGACCAGCCTAGTCAATATGGTGAAACCCCATCTCTACTAAAAACTACAAAAAATTAGCTGGGCATGGTGGCACACACCTGTAGTCCCAGCTACTCAGGAGGCTGAGGCAGGAGGATCACTTGAACCCGGGAGGTGGAGGTTACAGTGAACCGAGATCGCACCACTGCACTCCAGCCTGGGTGACAGAGCGAGATTCAGTCTCAAAAAAAAAAATACATATATATATATATATATATATATATATATATTCTTTTTGATGGGCCTTAATCATTTGCATATGATCCTATGACTGATGTTGGTTGCAAAGAAAACTTGTAATTTGCATTAAACACATCAATTGCAAACTCAGATTTTGAGCTGATGGTTCCTTTCAGCAGGTCTTTGGGCACCTACACATTACACGTGTGAGTGTGGGCTCTCGGTCTTAGACTGCCATTTCCAGGAGCCTGATAGATATCATCTTTATCTGGAACTCCTACCATCTCCTTGAAATTCATGCTGTCCACAATCAAACTCATCCTACCTACCAATACTTTCCCCCATGTACATTATTTCTGAGAGCAGCCTCCCTTTCACTTTGAGTCCCCTCAAGAACTTCTACCCACAGCATTTCTCTTGTGCGCCACCTGCTCCTGTCGAGGCCTCTGGCTATGGCCCATGTCAGGCCTTCAGAGCCTCCTTCCAGTCTTCCCACCACGGCTGTCAGATCACTCTTCTAAAAAGTCCCTCTTAGCACAGACCACAGGCCCCTTGCTGTACAACCCATGATTCTATGCCTGCAAACTGAAGAAATCCTTAATTGACACCAATGGTCTCACGAGCCCTGCACTAAACATTTCTCCTGCTTTCTGTTCCTCCCGTCTCTTTCAAGCTCCGAGGTTCAGCTGCAGAATTCCCAGCTGTCCATGGAGAGTCCCCACCTGTGGTGTCTGTTTTTCTAATGTGCTCCCTCCTGTCGTCTCCCCTTCCCCACAACCTGAGTCATAGCCGCACACGGAATTTCACCCAGTCCAGTCCAAGTTCAAACGCCACTTCTTCCATGCAGCCTTCCCAAATCTCCTGGTTAGAAAGATTCTCTCCCACCTGTGGAATTACACACCTCTTTATCCACCTGCTCTCCCTGGGATTGGTCATTTATGTGTGTGTTTTGTCTGGTGGCTGGCTTATCTATAATTGTCCCATTGTGTTGACTGACACCACAAACAGCATAGTGCCTCTGTCTGGAAGTGCAGACCAGCACAGGAGCGGAGAGGAGCAGCCCCTTCCTCGGTCTCATTCTGCTCCACCTGTGAGCAGCCTTGCGGAACGTGTGGTTGGTGAACACCTTGCCATCTTACGTGTTCCTAAGTGTAAAAACCTGGTTCAAATGTCTGCCCAGGCAGGAATGAAGGTGCCCAATAGATGTTTATTAGAATGAATCAAATAGACTCCCAGGGCTGTTGGCTTCAAAAGCTCTGCCAAACCCCCGAAATTTCCATCAGGGATTAAAGTCACGTTTTTGAGCTACTCCACAGTTTTGCCTAGACAAGTCTCGAAAACAGTGTTGTGAGCTCCACAGAGCGACAGCTACATGTATCTAATTAAACAATTAATTAATTACCATGCCAGCTAGTATTTGAGGACCCGTTTCTAGGTCTTGCTTTACTGTCTGCTGACGGGTAATTCGTCACCATTATTTACCCTAACTTCCAGGACCTCACCTATTTTTTTCTGTCTCACTGAATTCCAAGCCAATTCTAATGAGTGAAAAATTAATTACTTACGTGTAATGGGCTCGAGATTTCAGGAAATCTGACTGGGGTGGGAAAGAGTAGCAAAGGAATGTGTTGAATCAGAGCAGGCTGGAGGTATCGGTGCCAGGCAGAGAGTTTATTTATTCATGAGATCGCTAACAGGAAGGAAACACAAAGCTCTCAGGGAGTGGCTCCCCTGCAGAAATGCATCTCAGAGCTGCACCTAGACTACCTCCCTCTTTATCAGATTAATGGAAAATTGTTCATGCTGCACTCTCCCCTGTGTGCCCCAATTCTGTGACTTTTTTTTTTCCTTTTCCAAAGCTACTGGAAGAGTAGGTGGTAAAACACTGTGGCTGGCGTCCCCCAGGTACTTACATCTTCAATCCTCTGTATGGCCGGGGGAAGCAGGGGTTACCATCTCATTGTGACAAAATCTTCCTAAGCTGCAATTTCCACACAGAACCGTGGCTGGAAGCTTATGTTTTGGGTTATGTTTCATTCTTGTCTTACCATATTATCAGAAATTCAGCTTGGGTAGACTAAGGAAAGGACAAAAGTGAGTAATCGCCTGACACAGAAAGCTTGGGTTTAATTAATTAGTATTTAGAAAGCAACTTAAGACTCCGGAACGCAACTCATCTATGCAGTCAAGAGATCATTAACATTTTTGTGACACAGGTGTTTTTCACAACATTATAGAATTAACTCTGTAATGTGACTATGACTAAGTTTGGTAAACCAGAGGTACATTTTCCTGTCTATTGGTGGTTACTGTCTTCCTCTGGAAGTAACAAACTATCCAATCTATTTACTGAAGAACAAGTACATTAGTAAAAGAGAAAAAGCAAGAAATACTCCCAGAGATTCCCACACTACAATTAATTTGCTTTTCCATTTAATTGATGGAAGTACTGAGAATTCAACTGTGAGTCAAAAATATTTTGATGGAAAAACAAGTTGTGAAATGTATCCTGAGCAAATCACCTAAGTGTTTGGTTGTATATGTTATTATACATCGATATACAATTATCGATAATTGAATTATTTCTGGTAATTTGAGTAATTTCAGTTAATTCTTAATCACTGTGCTAATGATAACACAGGCAGTACAAAATAACAAATTATGCAAAAATTGCTCCTGTTTTATCTTAGATTATATAATACTTTACAGCATATTTCCTTTGCCAATTATGATTAATGTCTGGCTTACTTAAGCTATTGTTAAAATTAATTACCATTTTCAGAACCCATATCCACTAACAGCTGAGACAAGCAACACACAAGCTTCTGAAGTAGAAAGGAGAGGCTGGAGACTAAAATTTTGCCATCAAAAATTGGCAAAGCGAGAAAGTGTCAGAAAATTTTAAAATTGACCTTATTCTTCAAAATGGGAAAACACGCACACACCCCAAGTCAAGAGCATTCCCAGATGGCTTCTGCGGTGAGACCCCACTACAGTGCTCTTGAGTTGCGTGAGTCACAGAAGCTTGTGGCTGTGGCCCAAGTCTGGGCCATCTCACACCCACACCTGACAAAAGCAAAGAAAAACAGAGAGGGTCGTGAGGCTCCACTGTCCACACTGAGGCCACAGTGATCCAGGGAGTCCAGCAGCTGTGAGACCAGGCTGCCTAACCATCACCTGGCAAACCAGAGGTTGAAGCTTCATTTGTCGAGAAAGGTCTGGGGGAGTCTGAGACAAGGGCCCTCCCGGAACATCCAGACCCCACTCAGGCAGGAGTGCTGCTGTGGCTGGCACTGTGTCTCAGGTCCTTGCCGTCCTGGCCACCGATGTCTTAGGCTGGGCTCCAGGAAGCGGGGCCTGAGGCAGGGGCTGGGGGGCAGGTGCCTCCTGGAGGGTGTGCGCTGCAGACAGAACCTGTCACGGGGTGACCACCTCAGCACAGGAAGAAGCAGAGCCCTTGGCCCTGCCACTCAGGACACCACAGGGCCAGTCCTCAGGGCAAGACAACGGCCTGGGCCAGCCGGGTGTGGGCAGAGAGCAGCCCACCCATCGGCTCATCACACTGGGAACACGCGTGGCTGTGACCCACCCATGGCCACATGACAGCCGCTGGAGGATGGGGCACCCAGCCTACAGCGCCCGAGCAGCCTCGCTGAGAACCACCACATGTCAGCTGGGCAGAAACCAGGAACCCGCAGGCTCACATCCACCAAGCAGTGTGTCCGGGCAGATGGCGTCTCAGAGGGTGAGGATCCCCCATGATCTCTGGGGACCCACAGGTGAGGATCCTGTGTGACCTCTGGGGACCCACAGCTCCTCATATCCAGCGAGCAGTGCGTCCAGGCGGATGGCATCTCAGAGGGTGAGGGTCCTGCATGATGTCTGGGGACCCGCGGGTGAGGATCCTGTGTGATCTCTGGGGACCCGCAGGTGAGGATCCTGTATGATCTCTGGGGACCCACAGCTGCTCACATCCACCAAGCAGTGCGTCCAGGTGGACGGCATCTCAGAGGGTGAGGGTCCTGTGTGATCTCTGAACTCGCAGGTGAGGGTCCCTTGTGATTTCTGGGGACCCGCAGCTGCTCACATCCAACAGGCAGTGCGTCCGGGTGTACGGCATCTGAGAGGGTGAGGATCTTGTGTGATCTCTGGGGACCCACAGCTCCTCATATCTAGCAAGCAGTGTGTCTGGGCAGACGGCGTCTCAAAGGGTGAGGGTCCTGTGTGATCTTTGAGGAGAACATCGGATGTACATGATTCAGGGTTTTTTGGTTTATTTTCTACGTTACTCTTTTTTGTTTTATTTTTATGACTCCATTTGCTTTGTGTGGACTCATGAAGAATTTTAGACAGCATCCTTTGCCAAGCCATGTGCTGGATGTCATATAGGACGTGGCTCAGGAGCTTACACACATGCAGGGCCTGTAGTCTTAGGACGTGGCTCAGGAGCTTACAGGCATGCAGGGCCTGTAGTCCTAGGATGTGGCTGAGGAGCTTACATGCATGCAGGGCCAGTAGTCCTAGGACGTGGCTTAGGAGCTTACATGCATGCAGGGCCAGTAGTCCTAGGACGTGGCTTAGGAGCTTACACTCAGGTAGGGCCTACAGTCCTAGGACGTGTCTCAGGAGCTTACACGTGTAGGGCCTGTAGTCCTAGGACATGGCTCAAGAGCTTACATGCATGCAGGGCCGGTAGTCCTAGGACGTGGCTCAGGAGCTTTCACGTGTAGGGCCGGTAGTCCTAGGACGTGGCTCAGGAGCTTACACGTGTAGGGCCTGTAGTCCTAGGATGTGGCTCAAGAGCTTACATGCATGCAGGGCCGGTAGTCCTAGGACGTGGCTTAGGAGCTTACACTCAGGTAGGGCCTAGTCCCAGGACGTGGGTCAGGAGCTTACACTCAGGTAGGTCCTACAGTCCTAGGACGTGGCTCAGGAGCTTACACACGTGTAGGGCCTGTAGTCCCAGCGACAGACACAAAAGGAAACAGAAGCCGGTGGACACCCCTGGAAAGTCAGGCCTTTTTAGCCAGGAGAGGTTAGTTTATAAGGAACCATGGATTGTCCAAAAGATCTGATTCAAAACCCTTCCCCTGCCCATGGGGACCTTGTGTCACTCAGCCCTCGAAGTGCATGGCCAGGGCCTCTCCCAGACCAGCTGCTCATCTCCCCCGCCCCAGGTGCTGCCCGGCTGGTGGTTTCCCTCTGGTGGTCAGACCTCCGGTGTGGGCGTGGGGGATCTTGGCAGGTTGTCACGCTCTGCACGCGGCTTCCGTGAGCCTGACCAGGCTCCGGTTTCCTTCCCCACTCCTCACCCTGCCCTGGCTCAGAGAGAAACGGGCACACGGGGCCCTGGATCCCCGTTCCTGGAACGCCTCTCTGGATGCTCACTGAGGACATTTCCCCGCGGGGCCTTCATGCAACGCCAAAGCCAAGGTTTCCGCACGCACAGGCTCCTCGGGAATCTGACCCCAGATGGGAAAGCGTGGCCAGGCAGACAGTCACAGAGTCTTGGCCAAAGCACTTGCACCAGACACCCCCTGACGCCCCACAGCTACAGGGGAGGGCACTGAGGAGACCGCCTATCCCAAAGCAGCTTGCCCCAGCCCCGCAGGCTCAGACGCACGTCCCCCTTCCTGCAGCCCCCGTAACAGCTTGCCCCAGCCCCGCAGGCTCAGACCCACGCACCCCTTCCTGCAGCCCCTCTAGCATCCTCCTTTCCAGCCTCACCAAGGGCTGCACGTGGTTTCTCAAGGAGTTTAGACCCCAGGAAAAAGTAGTTGTGCAAAAAACTCACAGGAGAGCAAAGCAGAATTTAGCAAGTACCATGAGTAGCGTGTTCCTGAGGAAGGTGAAGAACGAGGAGGTTAATTTGAAAATCATTCACTCTTGCTCGGGTCTCCGGTGGGCACGCCCATTGTGTGGCACCTACTCCATTCCCTTCACGGGAAGGCGCGGCTGTCACTCCCTCCAACCATGGGCCTCCGCAGAACGTTAGATGAAAATACTCTGAAGCACAGGAAAGAGAGAAAGAAAAAGATTCGAGGGTGGAAAGAAAGAGGTCAGGAACGGAGGGAAGGACAGACAAGGGATAGGAACACAGAGGGTGTGCTCTCACGGAGAAAGATCCGTGTTAGCAACAGGGGAAGAGATGGATGAAGCAAAAGACAAATGCAGACAGAAATAGAGTTGAACTCATGATTTTTAAGATATGATAAATCAGATTTTTTTTAAACAATAGGGATGCAAAATGCTGTAGGTTTTTTTGTTGTTTTGTTTTTGAGACAGTGTCCCACTGTGTCGCCCAGGCTGGAGTGCAATAGCACGATCTCGGCTCACTGCAACCTTCGCCTCCTGGGTTCAAGCGATTCTTTTGCCTCAGCCTCCTGAGTAGCTGGGACTACAGGCGTGTGCCACCACACCCGGCTAATTTTTGTATTTTTTAGTAGAGACGGGGTTTCACCACTTTGGCCAGGCTGGTCTCAAACTCCTGACCTCAAGCGATGTGCCCGCCTTGGCCTCCCAAAGTCCTGGGATTACGGGCGTGAGCCACCACGCCCAGCCCAAAATGCTGTTTTTAAACATTGCTGTGGAAATTAGATACTGTGCTCGCTTCAGCAGCATATATACTAAAAATTGGAAATTAGACATTGTATCAGATTCCTGGGGCAGCCATAGCTAAGTGCCACAAACTGGGTGACTTTAAGCAACAGACATCAGCCAGGCACGCTGGCTCATGCCTGTAATCCCAGCACTTTGGGAGGCCAAGGAGGGCAGATCCCTTGAGACCAGCCTGGGCAACACAGAAAGATTTCATCTCTACAAAAGATTAACATGAAAACAATTAGCCAGGCGTGGTGGCGTGCCTGTGGTCCCAGCTACTCAGGAGGCTGAGGACTACCTTGGCCCCGGAGTTTGAGATTGCAGTAATCTATGATTGTGCCACTGCGCTCCAGTTTTGGTGACAGAAGGAGACCCTGTCAATCAGTCAATTAATCAATAAAAGGAAAAACAAAACCCCAGAAAGGTCTTGTCTCAGTCCTGGGGCTGGACGTCTGAGATCCAGCTGTCAGCAGGGCCCTGCTCTCCCTGACTCCTGGAGGGGTAGATCCTTCCCATCTTTCCAGCTCCTGGGAGCTCTGCAGTGCTTGGCATTTGGCAGCTCATCACCGCATCCCTCCAGCCTCTGACTCCATGACCGCACTGCCGTCTTCCCTCAACTGTGCTGGCTCCAAATGTCCCCTTTTTATGAGGACATCAGTCATATTGGATTAGGACCCACAGTAACGACCTGATCTTGACATGGCTAAATCTGCAAACACCCTATTTCCAAAATAGCTACACTCTGAGGTGCTAAGGATTAGGACTTCCATCTATCTTCTTTTGGGGGACACAGTTCACCCCATAACAGATGTTAATATGAGGGAAAACAAATTTAGGCAGAGACTTTGCATCCTGAGCATCGGAAACTACAGAGGGTTAACTCTCACACGGTAAATGAATGAACCAAAGCTGTGGAGTGCAGTGGAAGAAATTATTAGTAACATATGGTACACAACTTCTACAATTTTTGAATAACAAAGAAACTAAAAGGCAACGAACAGGCGATTACAAAAGAGACGGGTTTTATTTCTAGAATATGAGAAACGGATCCTGCTCATCTCATCTGCTGATTAACTGATGGGCTGCCAGACAGTTTCATTTGACATCACACATTTCAGGTCACCTTAGTAAATGGATGGCTACTCCGACAGACAGTGCCTCTGGTTATAATTTTCTGAGACCAAAATATTCCCTTTCATTATCATAAAACTTCTACTAGTGAATGTGTCTTAGCTCTTCAGAGAAGCGCACTTCCTAGTACTGGCCCATAAAAATGAGCTGCAGTAACAGGAAGCCCCTCTGCACTGGGGCTGGCTCCTCTGTCAAGCAGAGACCACCCTGGAGAACAGACGGGGGAGTTTCCTGCACACACAGTCACCCCTTCGAGGAAGAAGAGGAGCCACCTCCGGACTGTGCACACCCATTTCTTCTTCACTCTCAACAGTCGGGTCAATCCTCCACTCTCCTGGGCAGTGTGTGCATGAGCGTGCACCTGTGTGTGCTATGTGTGCATGCATGCATGTGCACTGTGTGTGGTGTATGTGCATGAGCATGCACTGTGTGGTGTGTGTGCGTGAGCGTGCACTGTGTGGTGTGTGTGCATGCATGAGTGTGCACCTGTGTGTGCTGTGTGTGCATGCATGTGTGTGCACTGTGTGGTGTGTGTGCATGAGCATGCACTGTGTGTGGTGTGTGTGCATGCATGAGCGTGCAACTGTGTGTGGTGTGTGTGCATGCATGAGTGTGCACCTGTGTGTGCTGTGTGTGCATGCATGCGTGTGCACTGTGTGGTGTGTGTGCATGAGCATGCACTGTGTGTGGTGTGTGTGCATGCATGAGCGTGCAACTGTGTGGTGTGTGTGCATGCATGAGCGTGCACCTGTGTGTGGTATGTGTGCATGCATGAGCGTGCACTGTGTGTGGTGTGTGTGCATGCATGAGTGTGCACTTGTGTGTGCTGTGTGTGCATGCCTGTGCCTGCACTGTGTGTGGGTATGTGCATGAGCATGCACTGTGTGTGGTGTGTGTGCAGGCATCGGCGTGCACCTGTGCGTGGTGTGTGTGCACGCATAAGCATGCACCTGTGTGTGTATGTAAAGAAAGGCTAGGAATGAACAGAGCTCCCTCCACACGGAAGAAAATATGACGCATGGGAAGATGTCTTCCCTGCAAAAGTAAAATAATTAAAAACTGGAATTGACATATTAACGGATGTGATTAGCCTGGCTGAAAATTGTGTGAGAGCCTCTTTTAAGGAATGGGGAAAATTACAAATGGCTACACAGAAACTAATCTAATAGGACAAATAAGGCAATTAACTTTAGGAAAAACAAAAAGAAAGGATCCATGGTGATAGCAGATGCTAAGCTCTGGATAACCCTTGCTTGTAATGTGATGACGTGGTTTGACTTGGGGATAGCATTTTGCTATTTGTTTTCGGTATTTTGTTTTTCTGTTCCTCCTTTCCTGACTTCTTTTGGACTAGTCAAAATTTTTTAGTATCTCATTTTAACTCCCTTTTTCTTACATGTCCTTGCACTGCTTTCTGTATTGTTGTCATATATATTATATATTCGTACATTATAAACCTCACAAAGCAGTGAGATACTATTTGGGTTACCAGTAATATGACTTTTGAAAAATTAGAAGAAAAAATGTAAAGTATGAAGTCTTTTCTATTTACCATTCTAGAGGCTGTTCATCCATTCCTATAGATCTGAATTTCTATCTAGGGTCATGAAGAACTTCCTTTAGAATTCTTGTAATACAATTATGCTTGGAGCGAAATATCTTTACTGCATCTTCAATTTTAAATGATATTTTCACAGGATTTAGAATTCTGGGTTGACAGCTGCTTCTTTCTGCTCTTTAAAATCTTATCCCATTGTATTCTGGCCTCCGTTGTTTTTGAAAAAATCAACCCTAATTCGTGTTATCATCCACTTGGATAGAATTGTCATCTCTCTCTGGCTGCTTTCAAGACCTTCTCTTTCCCTTTGGTTTCAACAGTTTCACCCTCATGTGCCTCGGTGCTGTTTTCTTCATATTTATCCTGCGTAGGGTTTGCTGGGCTTCTGTGATCTGTGGGTTCTTGTCTTTCAAAGCTTCACATAATTCTCAGCTCTTCTTCCAACATATTTTCTCTACTCCTTTCTTTCTTTTCCTTCCAAACTTCTCTCACACTTGTGTTGGAGAGATAGATATTGTCCTAAAGATTATGAGACTCTGTTCATGTTCTATTTTAATAATTTTTCTGTTCTGCAGATTAAATAGTTCATTGACCCTTTCTTCTAACATTTGCAACCCTCTGTTAAACTTGTCCTGTTAATTTTTTATTTTATATATTGTGCTTTTCAGTTTTCTAATTTCCCCTCTTTTTGTAGTTTAGAATTCTCTACTGAGATTCCCCATTTGCTCACTCACTCCAGTAGCCGTGACAAAGATGTGAATTTGTCATAGTTTCTGGAGAGGGCTGCTTGCTAATTCCAACATCTAGGTTATCTAGGGACCAGTTTCCTTCAACTGCATATTCTCTTGACGATGGCTTATATTTCCTCATTTATTTGCACATCTAATTTTTCAAATTTTTTAATTCTTTATTTTTATGGGTACATAGTATGTGTATACATTTATGGGGTACATGAAATATTTTGATACAGGCATGCAATGTGAAATAATCACATTGAGGTAAATGGGGTGTCCATTGCCTAAAACATTTTTTATTTCTTTGTGTTATGAACATTCCAACTATACTTTGTAAGTTTGTTGTTTTTTTGTTTTTTGAGATGGAGTTTTGCTCTTGTCACTCAGGCTGGAGTGCTATGGTGCGGTCTTGGCTCACTGCAACCTCCACCTCCCGGGTTCAAGCGATCCTCCTGTCTCAGCCTCCCAGTAGCTGGGATTACAGGCGCCCACCATCACGCCTGGGCTAATTTTTGTATTTTTAGTAGAGATGGGGTTTCACCATGTTGGCCAGGCTGGTCTTGAACTTCTGACCTCAGGAGATCCACCTGCCTCAGCCTCCCAAAGTGCTAGGATTACAGGCATGAGCCACCATACCCATTTCTAAGTTATTTTAAACGTGCTAAATTATTGTTGACTGCAGTCAGTCTACTATCAATTACTATATTTTATTCATTCGAACTGTATTTTGTACCCATTAACCATCTCCACTTTCTCCTGCACTCGTCACTATTCTTCTCAGCCTCTGATAACCACTATTCTACTCTCCATCTTCATGAGTTTGATTAATTTTTAGCTCCCATAAATGAGTAAGAACATGCAAAGTCTGTCTTTCTGTGCCTGGCTTATTTCACTTAGCATGATATCCTCCAGTTCCTTCCATGTTGTTGCAAATGATAGGATCTCATTCTTTTTGTGGATGGATAGTACTCATTGTATACACGTACCACATTCTCTTTATCCATTCATCTGTTGATGGACATAGGCTACTTCCAAGTCTTAGCTATTTTGAATAGTGCAGTTATAAAGTGGGAGTGCAGATATCTCTTCTATGTACTGATTTCCTCTCTTTGGGGTATATATCTAGCAGTGGGATTGCTGGATCATACGATAGTTGTATTTTTAGTTTTTTTGAGGAACCTCCATACTGTTAGCCATATCTAGTAATTTTTTGTTGTATGCTGCACATTGTGTACAATATGTTGTAGACAGAGAAGCTCATGTCTTCTTTCTTTACAGGGTGTTGTGTTTGTTCTGGCAGACAGTGGAATTAGTGGTACTTACTTTTGGTCTTCTCAGCCTTAGGTCTATTCTTTGCTAGAGTGGGTCTGTTTTGGTTTAGAAAGTATTTTTATGATATGATCCTTACTCTAGAGTGTGGGACTTACACTTAAAGTTTGGCCTTTCTGGGAACTCAACTCCATTCCAAAGTTCTCAGTGAGGTTTCTCCACTGCTGAGGCTGGTACTCCAGTGTCTCCCAAAACTGCCTGCTTCCTTTGTCACCACTAGCTCATGGCCTGCAGTAGGCAATACCTGCTAAGCCCCACAGAGTCCTGCCCTTCACCTGTCAGCCCAGACTCGAGCTGAGGGACCATGCTGAAGCCCCATGCATGTTTCTGGGGGCTTCTATCTGTGTGTTTCCCCTTCTCAGAAACCCCACCAAACAAATCCAACCGCTTCAAAAACTTGAACTTCAGTCTCTTCCTTCTCAGCTCCAGGAGATCACCATCCTGCTTGACTCTACCTCCCTCCCCTGCAGCAGGAGAGCACCCAGGCAGAAAGCCAGAGCAGTGGCAGGCAACAAGGGCTCATCTCGTAAGTTTCTCTTCCCCTGTGATGCCCATTTTTCTTGTTTTTTTTTTTTTTGTTGTTGTTGTTTGTTTGTTTGCTTTTATTTGAGACAGAGTGTTGCTCTGTCCCCCAGGCTGGAGTGCAGTGGTGCAATGTTGGCTCACTGCAACCTCCACCTCCCAGGTTCAAGCGATTCTCCTGCCTCAGCCTCCTGGGTGGCTGAGACTACAGGCATGTGCCACCACGCTAGGCTAGTTTTTATATTTTCAGTAGAGACAGAGTTTCACCATGTTGGTCAGGCTGGTCTCAAACTCCTGACCTTGTGATCCACCCAACTCAGCCTCTCAAAGTTCTGGGATTACAGGCATGAGCCACTGCATCCAGTCTTGCCTTTAAAAAAAATAAATAAAGTGGGCGAGCTCATGGTCGAGATGCCCAACCAGATGACACTCCCAACACACACTTTTCAAAGCCTAAAATGCCTCGTCTCCTGTGCTGCCCATGCTGTAGTTGTTTCCAGTGGACAAGTCTGTGTCATGGCTGGCAGTAGAAGTCTGTGAAAAATATTTTCATGTGCATATAATGTAAACACAAGTCCAGATTGGAGGAAAAGGATAAGTATTTCTGGAGGGATGTCTCCAACAAAAATAATGAAACTGATAGAATTGGCATATTGAGAGGAGATGGAGGTTGAATTATTTTGGGGATAAATGATATTTACATAGTCATAATAATGTAAATTCTGAGAATTGACATAAACAAAAACCAAAATATTTAGGGAGGAACAGGATAGGAAATGTTTGTGTGTGAGCATAGAGAGCAAGAGGAAAATTAGAAAGCCAAGTCCGACTGGGCCAGGCGAGGTGGCTCATACCTGTAATCCCAGCACTTTGGAAGGCTGAGGTGGATGGATCACTTGAGCTCAGGAGTTCAATACCAGCCTGGGCAACATAGTGAGACCCCGTTTCAAAAAAAAAAAAAAAAGACAGCCAAGTCCTCATCTGGGGGATGTAGACTGTCAATAAGTAGTATCTAAAATTTAAAAATAAAGACCTAGCACTATGAGCTTACTATTTAGAAATACGAAGTGAAGCCAGGTGCGGTGGCTCACGCCTGTAATCCCAGCACTTTGGGAAGCCAAGGCAGGTGGATCACGAGGTCAGGAGATCAAGACCATCCTGGCTAACACGGTGAAACCCCGCCTCTACTAAAAATACAAAAAATTAGCCAGGCATGGTGGTGGGTGCCTGTAGTTCCAGCTACTTGGGGGGCTGAGGCAGGAGAATGGTGTGAACCTGGGAGGCAGAGCTTGCAGTGAGCGGAGATCGCACCACTGCACTCCAGCCCAGGCGACAGAGTGAGACTCTGTCTCAAAAAAAAAAAAAAAAAAAGAAAAGAAAAAGAAAAAAGAAATGTGAAGTGAACACCAAAGGAAACATCAGAAAAGCACAGTGTACTTGCCCGTAGGAAATGGAATCAGTCTGGAAATTGCTTCATTGGAAGTCTAATTATGCAGGTACACAATTTTTATGGGGAAAAATAACATATGCAGAGATGTGCATAAATACTTTGATATTTAACAAATAAGTAGAAATCCAACTAATTCTCAACCAGGTTCTAAAATTGATTTTCATTTCTTTTGCAAAATATATAGAAATGTGAATAAATGTTACAGGTAGCACTTAAATGATTGAAAATCCAACTAACCATGAGCCAAGTCAAGACATTGAACATGATTGTCATCCTAAAAGTCCTTCATGCATCACTTCCTGACTGCAATTCCCTCATTCCTACCAAGACAGACCATTCTCCTGACTTGCACAGTGATACTTTTCTTTACCACCATTGCATGCATCCCTGTAAAATATGGTTTAATTTTGCTTACTTTTGAACTTTGTATAATGTTGATATATTTTTTTCCACTCTCCTTTAGGTTGGTAGATTCATCCATGCTGTTTCACGTAGCCTACCTTTTTTTCCTCTAACTAAATATTTTTTGAATGAATATATTAGAGTGTATTGATTCATTCTATCATTCTACTGTTGATGGACATTTGGGCTGTTTCCAGATTTGGCTATTATAGGACAAATATACTATAATTTCATAAGTAGTATAATATATGTGGTTACATACTATCATATATATGATACGCTGGTGAACATAAATGCACTTTTCCCCCAGAACTCTGAATTGCTTTCTATGCCAGAAGTTGCCAAGCATTTATGAGCTCTCTATTCTGTTCCACGTATCTATCTTTTCATTCCTGAACCAATACTACATGGTATTAATGCAGCCAATAACATCCACAAAACTGATAGCAGAAGATCTCTTGTGCCTTCCTTCCCCACCTCCCTTCTTCTCCTTCTCCAATGCCTTGGCTCTTCCTGTGCCTGGAATTTTTGCATATTTTGAATTACCTTGTCATGTGTACCTCCCTCACCCCAAATACCTCCTGGGATCTGAGTGGGATTGAACTGAATCTAGAAATCAACTGAAAGATTAACCACCTCTCTGCATTTTGATTCTCCACAACACGGCACATCTCTGCATTTGTTTAGGTTTTCAGCAATGTCTTTCAGTCTTTCAGTAAAGTTTTATAATTTTTCTCATAAAAGTTTTTCACACTATTCTTTTTTATCTATTATAATTGCTATTGGTGATGCTATTGGTGATTTTTAAATGGTATATTTTTAAATGACATTTTCTATTTGTTGCTTTTATATAGAATACAATTGAATTTTTATACTGATATTGTTTTTGGTAACCCCCCATAAACGTTCTTACTAATTCCAATAGTTTATCTGTAAAATATTTTTTAATGTACTACAGATAAAATTGTTTTATCTACAAAAAATGGTGGCTTAGTTTTTTCCTTTCCTCAGCATTGCCCAGGTGAGGCCTCTCTGCAGCGGTTCACCCCTGAATTTCTGCTTGCCATTGCCCCAGTACAGGCTCTCTGCGGTGGCTCTGCTCCTGTGACAAGTCCCTGCCTGGGGCCGCAGGCTGTCCATGACATCTCTTGAAATCTAGGTGGAGGCTGCCCCACAGCTCTAGCATTCTTCTTGCCTAAAAATTGGCACCACATGGATGCCACCAAGGTTTATAGCTTGTACTTTCCAGAGCCATGGCTGCAGCCACAGCTGCGGTGACTGAGCACTGCACTGGTTGTGGGTTCCCTGGAGCTCCCGGTCAGTGATGGGGGCAGCCTTGAAGATCTTGGAGGTGCCTTCAGGGTCATTCTCCCTGTCCTGATGATTCCTTCTCTCCCCAGTCATCTCCTCAGTGAACAGTCACTTGGCCACACCCTTGGTTTGCTCTCCCAAACTCACCTTTTTATTCTTTACATGGTCAGGCTGAAAAACTTCAAAATCCTTCCATTTTGCTTCTCTTTTAATTATGAATTCCATCTTTAAGTCATTTATCTCATATCTGACTGTATGTGATTTAAAGTAGCCACACAAATTCTTCATTATTTTGCATAGACATTTCTTCTGCCAAATATCCTAGTTCACTGCTCTTATAGTCCACCTCCCCATAAAGCCTGAGGCATGGATATAATTCAGATAAGTTCTTTGAATCTTTATAACAAGGATGGCCTTTCCTCTAGTTTCCAAACCTTGTTCCTCATTTCTGCCTGACACCTTATCAGAATGTCCTGTCCATATCTCCACCAACATTCTAGTCACAACCACTTAAGGAATCTCTGGGAAGTTTCAGGCTTTCCCCACTCCTTTTCTTCTGAGCCCTCACCAGAATTGCCCTTCACACCCCATTCATAGCAATCCAGGCTTTTTCTAACACATACCTCCAAATCCTTCCAGCCTCTACCCATTTCCCAGTCCAAAGCCACTTCCACATTTTCAGGTATTTGTTATAGCAACGATCTGATTTCTCACTACTAGTTTTCTGTCTTAGTCTGCTAGAATAGAATTCAACTCTGTGAGTTGAATGCACACATCACAAAGAAGTTTCTCAGAATCCTTCTGTGTAGTTTTTATGTGAAGATATTTCCTTTTCCATGTTAGAATAGAATACCATAGACTGGATCATTTATAATGAACAGAAATTTATTTGGCTCACAGTTCTGGAGGCTGGGAATTCCTACATCAAGGTGCTGGTGTCTGGTGAGGGCCTTTGTACTGTGTCATCTCAGGGCAGAGAATGCAAGAGAGCAAGAGAAGGGTTATAACTAACCCACTCCTGCAATAATGGCATTTATCCATTCATGAGGGCAGAGCCCTCGTAACCCCATCACCTCCCCATACTGTTGCATGGGGGGTTAAGTTTCTAACACATGAACCTTGGGGGACACACTCAAACCACAGCACTTGTCAAAGATATCTTGAGAGGTGATGAAGTAAAGGATAGGTCTCTGCATCCCAATATTCTCCCAACGTAAAAGCCACAGTCAGGCTGATAAATGAACTCCAAATAATCAGATTTCTGAAATCTATGCCAGGGTCTTTGAAAGCCAAGTCAGCCGCAAGAACAAGAATTTTCCCCACTGATACTTAAGCCAAAAATTGACCAAAAAATTAGAAAGGAATGAAGAGAGAAAAAGAAAAGAAAAGAAGGAAAAATCCACATATATAAAACAACAACAGGAACCAGGGCATGGTTGGAATTCTGCAGCTCTCACTCTAAAACTGCAATGAGTGAGCTGTGCCAGTTTGACTTGACTATTCATGAACTTCAGAATAATGGGGCATGTATTTTATTCAATTGATTTTTATTTTGATTTCATGATATTATTCTGGGGCTTACTATATTACTATATTTAAAAGTTTTTACATTCATGTTCATAAGTGAAATTGGCCTGAAATATTCCTTATTTATTTGTCCTTGGTATCAAGGTTTGTTATATCTTAAAATAAGTTCCAAAATGTTCCTTCTTTGTCTGTTGTCTGGAAGAGTTTGTGTAAGAATGGAGTTGTTTTTTCCTTGAGTGTTTGGAATAACTACCTTGTGAGGCAGCAGGGCCTGGAGTTTTAAGGAAAGAAATGTACTACTGATGTAAGGATTTGAAGGTTTTTCGTCTATTGTAGTCTTCCATTTCCTCTTTTTTTTTGAATTATTATTATACTTTAAGTTTTGGGGTACATGTGCACAACGTGCAGGTTTGTTACATATGTATACATGTGCCATGTTTGTGTGCTGCACCCATTAACTCGTCATTTAGCGATGAGTTCATGTCCTTTGTAGGGACATGGATGAAGCTGGAAACTATCATTCTCAGCAAACTATCACAAGGAAAAAAAACCATTTCCTCTTAAGTCAGTCTTGGTATACTTCCCTAAACATTTCCCCATTTCATCTATTTTTTTCCAATTCATTGGCCTAAAGTTGTTAGTAATGCCTTATTTCTATGACGTTTGTGTGTGGCAGCTATAGTGATAGTCCCTGTTTTATTCCAGTATTGGTATTTGTACCTTCTCTTTATTTTGGTAAATATCACAAGGTTTTGTCCATTTTATTCGTGTTATTGAAGAATAAACTTTTATATATCTCAATCCTTCCTATTGTATATTCGTTTTCGTTTCCTTTGATTACTGATCCTATCTTTATTATTAATTTTTTTCCTTTTTTGGATAATTTTGCATTTGCTTTTTTAAACTTCTTTGATGGATATTAAACTTCTTTTCAGCATTTCTTCTTTTCTAATATATGAATATGAAGCTTTTTCTTCTAGTTTAAGCTTTGGCTTCAGTCACAGTTTTAATATGTAGCATTTTCATTATTCAATTCAAAATTCAGTTTTCATTATAATTAATTATATAGCATGATTTATTTATTATAGTGTTTCTAATTTCCAAAGATATCTTTCCATTTGTGTTTTTGTTATTGAGTTCTCCCTTGATTACATTATGATCAGAGAATATTTGGATATTATGTAAATCATTTGAAATGTTTTAAATCTTGCCTTATAGTCATGTCTGCAAATGCTCTGTGTATACTAGAAAATATGTGTTTTCTGCAATTGGTTATGGTGTCCAATAGATGCTATCAAATCTAGTTTGTTACTTATATTATTCATCCTTTTGTGTCTTATCTGGTTACTTCTATCAATCACTGAGAGGAGTGTACCACAATTTACCTCTGTAATTGTGAATTTGTCTATTTCTCCTCATAGGGCTATCAAGTTTTTGCATTATATATTTTGGCGTTATTTTTATGAGGTACATCCACATTTAGATAACTGTGTCTTCCTAATTGAAATCTTCATTATCGTGAGGCATCCTTATCCCACCCAACGCTTTCTGCCTTGCAGTCTATTTTGCATGACATTAATCTGTTTACCCCGAAATATCTTTTGCAAGAACAAAAGTTGTGCATAATTGCCAATTATTTCTACATGATCTATTTTCATTGGCTGATCTTAAGACTTTTTTTCTTGTCTTATAGTGTATCCACTGAGCTTTAAATTTTGGTTATTATATTTATTTTTAGAAGTTCTGTTGTCTCTTTGCTACTGCTCAGCCTGAAGCACAGTGGTGCGATCATGGCTCCCTGTAGCTTCGACCTCCTGGGCTCAAGCAATCCTCCAGCTTCAGCCTTCTGAGTACCTGGGACCACAGGCATGTGTCACCATACCTGGCTAAGTTTTAAATTTTTTTTTGTAGAGATAGGGTCTCACTCTATTGCCTAGGCTGCTCTTGACCTCCTGGCCTCAAGCGATCCTCCTACCTGAGCCTCCCAAAATGCTGAGATTACAGGTGTGAGCAACCACACCCAGCCTAGAAGTTCTGTTCTTAAGTGGACCATATTATTTTTTATAGTTTCAAATTTCTCTGCATAAATTTCAAATTTTTATTTCATTTCTTTAAACATGCTATGTTTGGTTGTTTCAAAATGCATATCTGATCATTTCACTCTTTAAAACCTGTCCAGTTCTGCTTCCGTTATTTTTGTTTCTCCTGATTCTCATTCATGTTGTCTCCCCACCACCGCATCGCCATTACTTTGGGTATCTTGTAATCCCTACTAGAAAATATGTGTCTTCTGCAATTGGCTATAGTGTCCAATAGATGTTATTAAATGGCTACCTGCTGGCCACTGATCTTGGAATTTACTGCTGTTGGTGACCCGAGATCCCGAATGTATACACCCTCCTTTACAAGCTTTCCTGTTTCCTTCTAGGAATGTTAGGGGCACTTACAGCCTCAACCATCTCAAGTCAACTCCACGGCTTGATTTTCCTTGGCCTCCCAGTCATAGATCACATGTACCCAGTACAAGTCTACGCAGGAGCTGGTCTGTGGTCCCAGAGAAATTCTCTGGAAATTTTTTCCCCGATTTCTTTCCTGTCGATTCATTTCCAAAGCAGCTTTCTTGAAAATCCCCTGTAGGTGCGTGGAGTGTAGGTTTAGATACGGCTCACCTCTGCTGTGTGTGTGATTCCCTTTGGGTTCCCAGCCTCGCACCAGGAGGCTCTTCTTTATGACTCTGGGTACTGGAGCTGATTTCTCCTCCTCTTGTCCCAAGTGGCCGAGGAACCAAGATCTAGTGTGGGCCCAGCAGGGCATAAGCCTGGTTTGATGGTCACAGACCCTTTCATACATTTAATATACACACACGCTTGAAAATTCTCTACAGACTTTTGTACTGTAATTTGGGTTCCTACTGTCTTTTCATATTTTTGACATTTTTAAAGTTTTTTGAAAAAAATATAGGCCAGGCACAGTGGCTCACACCTATAACCTAGCACTTGGGGAGGTTGAGGCAGGAGGATCACCTGAGCCCAGGAGTTTGAGACCAGCTTGGGCAACATAGTGAGACCCCATCTCTACAAAAAAAATATAAAAATTAGCTGGGTGTGTGATATGGTTTTGCTGTGTCCCCACCCAAATCTCATCTTAAATTGCAGCTCCCATAATCCCTACGGGAGGGACCCGGTGGGAGGTAATTGAATCATGGGGTGGGTTTTTCCCGTGTTGTTCTCATGAAAGTGAAAAAGTCTCATGAGATCTGTTGGATTTATAAAGGGCAGTTCCCCTGCATAGGCTTCACTGCCTGCCACCATGTAAGACCTGCCTTTGCTCCTCCTTCACCTTCCACCATGATTGTGAGGCCTCCCCAACCATGTGGAACTGTGAATCCATTAAACTTATTTTTCTTTATAAATTACCCAGGCTTGGGTATGTATTTCTTTATTAGCAGTGTGAGAACAGACTAGTATAGTGTGGTAGTGTGCACTTGTAGTCCCAACTACTCAGGAGGCTGAGGTGGGAGGATCAATAGCACCCAGGAGGTGGGGGTTGCA
Organism: Homo sapiens; assembly: GCF_000001405.40. Taxonomy (NCBI): domain Eukaryota; kingdom Metazoa; phylum Chordata; class Mammalia; order Primates; family Hominidae; genus Homo; species Homo sapiens. The sequence goes on from NC_000010.11 coordinate 712,198, forward strand.
GGAGGCTGAGGTGGGAGGACCAATTGCACCCAGGAGGCAGAGGTTGCAGGAGGTTGAGGTGGGAGGATCAATAGCACCTGGAAGGCGGGGGCTGCAGGAGGCTGACGTGGAAGGATCGCTTGTACCTGGAAGGCAGAGGTTACAGTGAGTTGTGATTGCACCACTGCATTCCACTCTCTCTGGGTGACACAGTGAGACTCTGTCTCAAAACAAAAGGTCAAAGTTCTGAGTCACTACTTCAGTTTTCTCTGGATTATGGACCAGAGGAGTTAACGCAGGTTCTAAAAACGCCTAACATTACCAGGAGATTAGGCTGGGCTCTGCAAGAATCCAGTTCAATAGCTATTAAAATATATTCTTCTCCTTGAATAAGTGTTCTTAGAAAATTGAATAGTATTGTTTTATAGGCCTCCAGGTCCTAGTTGGTTTTTATTGCTCTGTTTTTAAATAGTTCACGGAATCAAGATAATAGAAGTTCAGACAGTACAGTCCCTGCATTGCTTACTACTAAATCTCCTAAGCTACTGCATAGCACTCTTCCCAGGAAATGTGGAAAAGTGAGCACAGTTACGCAATCAGAGACTCATATGCTGGAAGGACCCTTAAAGATTTTCTGAAGCAACCAATCAATTGATTTTTTAAAAGAAACAGAAGAATTCTCAAGGTTAAGTGACTTGCCTCACATTAAATCTGCAGTGTTAAATTGCAGAGCTTCAACTAGGATGTGTCCTCTCCATTCCAGGCCATTGTCTAAGTAACAGCTTCTCCTAACAGAAAACTCAACAACATCAAAGAACACCATTTCTCTGACCCAACAGGAAGCCCTGAGGTAGGGGCACGCAGCCACAGGGTACCTCAGCCCTGCCATTGGGAACCAGACCCTCCCCTCTTCCCACTGCACCATCCTTGTGGCTGCAGAAAGAGGAGAAGTGTAAAGGGGAAAAGAAACATCTTCCTTTGAAGCTTGGACTTGTTCTTGCAAAGAAGTGCCTGAGCCAGGGACATCCACCCCTACCTGGATGGTTGAGGCAGTGTCTGATGGTCAGCTTTAGCTTTCCAGGCTCCAAGGAAGAGAAGAGCCAGAAAGAGGAGTTTGCAGATGTGTTCCTCGTGCCGTCCCTTTAAAATACATGCTTCACGGGTTTGCTTTTGTTGATTTTAAGACTACAACATAGTCATCGCTCATAATATTTGTAATGTTGACATTCACAAATATGTACAGACATTTATATGCAATTTAGTCAAGGTTGGTAAATCTGACAACTTGTAGCCACCACCCAGAACAAGAAAGACAACATTACAAGTCTCCATGCGTCCCTTGCCAATCACAACCCCCACCTCAAACAGGTATCTGACATTTTTAGTGGTCATTGCTTTGCTTTTCTTTACAGTTTTACATGTGTGTACCTCCCTAGAATATACAGTTTGGTTTTGCATGTTATTGAATTTTACATAAATTGAATCACATTATGTATTATTTTTTAAAAGATTTTTTGTAGAGACGGGGTCTCACTATGCTGCCCAGGCCGGTCTCAAACTCCTGGCCTCAAGTGATCCTCCTGCCTCAGCCTCCCAAAGCTCTGGGATTGCAGGTGGGAGCCACAGTGCCCAGCCACCCATGCTATACACTCTTCTGGGACTGCTTTTCCCTCTCATCATTATATTTGTAAGATTCATCCACACTGTTATCTATAACTGCCATTCTCTTATCTTCATTGTTGAACAGAATCCCATAGAATAAATATACTTCAGCTTACTTATCAATTCTATTATTGATGGGCATTTGGGTGGCTTGCAATTTGGGGCTATTATTAACAGTAATAATATGACACTTTGAGACACTATGCTGGTACACAGATCTTTAGACACACACACAGACTCACACTCAGATCTCTGAGGTATATTCCTAGGGGGAGAGCTGGTGTGATTGTCTTCAACTTTACTGGATAACATGAGGCCGTTCCTCAGTGATGGCATCCATTTACAATCCCTTCAGTGGATTTGAGGGTCCCTGATACTCCACATCCTGGTTAACACGTGATGGTGTCAAGCTGTAAACCTTACTGACATGATGGCGAGATGGCAGCACCACTGAGCATTTCTGTGGTTTGGGACTCTGCTTGCTGATGAGATCAAACACAGTGACAGATGGATTGGCCATTTTTGCATCAGCCTTTTTGTGATTTGCTCATTCAAGTCTTTGGCTCATGTTCTATTGATCATCCTGGCCTTTTGCTGTGATTTATAGATGTTCTTTATGTATTCTAGATACTAGTCCTTTTCCAATATCATTTCCAACAGTCTGACTTCTCTTCTCATTCTTTTTATGGTGTGCTTCGATGGATAAGTTTCTTCATTTTAGTGTGTTAAATTGAGCAATCTTTTTTCATGTGTGGTTGATGCATACTGTGTCTTGTTGGGGAAATCTTTCCCTCCCCCAAGGCCACGGCAACATCCTCCAATAGTCCCTTCCAAAAGCTTGCGCTTCCATGTTTAGATCTTGATGTTTTCTACTTCTGGTCTTAGTTCTGGACTAAGACTCTACCAGGTGACCCCCTCCCCCACTGCAGAAAATAATAACACCTGCACCTACCACAGAAGGTGAGCATCCTCCACCCGAAGCAAATGTGGCACAATCAAGCAGACAGGATCCTGGTCAGGCCACCCTCTGGAGGAGCTGCATAGGAGCTACGCAAGTGAGTTCCCATGTCCGGGCTTTTAGTTTAGACCAAGCACAGTCCACACAGTGAGCACAGGGACAGGCAGGTAGAGAACCCATGGGGAAGAGCCTGCAGCCTTTGTTGGGAAGGGAAACGACGGGAAAGGCTGGGAACAGGATTTGAATGCCAAGGCAGGGAAATCCCGTAAGTGAAAAAGCCAGAGAAGCAGTCCTCAGACTCCACCTTTCCTCATAACCCATTGATCCTGAACCACACATACAACAGACGCAGTCACCCTGCTGAGGACAGAGGAGATGAATGGACTGAAATTGCCACTCAAGAAACAAGTTTTAAGTTCATGCCCAGCCAAAGAAACTACCTACCAAGCAAAGGAAGCAATAATCACGGAGGAAAATAACCGATTCCGAACTCCCCAGCTCAGTTTTTATGACCAGAATGCAATGAAAAATTACCCAGCACATGAGGAGCCAAAATTACCCAGCACATGAGGAGCCAAGAGAGCAGACCATGTTCCCAAGAGAAGGGAAGTCAGCTGTGTGCGGCTCTGAGTGTGGTTCTGGATGCTGGATTCGACATGTCAGTGTTCACTCCGTTTATTCATTCTTGTTTATATAGTTAAAAGAGTTCTTTATTTTTATTTATTTATTTATTTTTGAGATGGAGTCTCACTCTGTCGTCTAGGCTGGAGTGCAGTGGTGCAATCTCTGCTCCCTGCAACCTCTGCCTCCCGGTTCAAGTGATTCTCCTGCCTTGGCCTCCTGAGTAGTGGGGACTACAGGTGCATGCCACCACGCCCAGCTAATTTTTTTGTATTTTTAGTAGAGATGGGGTTTCACCATGTTGGCCAGGCTGGTCTTGAACTCCTGACCTCAGGTGATCCACCTGCCTCGGCCTCCCAAAGTGCTGGCATTACAGGTGTGAGCCACCATGCCCAGCCTTTTTGTTTGTTTTTAACTATTTTGATTAGTCAGTTTTCCCAACACTGTCTGTTGAAAAAAATCCACCATTGCTGCACTGACCTGAAGTGCATCCTCACACAGCCATAAATCACACACACATGATTGTTTCTGAGTTTTCTCTTCTACCCACGTGGCTGGCTCGCCTACCATTAGCACATTGTGGTTACCCAGCTCTACAACACGACTTCACATTTAACACAGCCGGTCTTCCTACAGTGTTCAGGGCTGTCTTGGCTACCCATGGCACTTTGCAATTCCATATACATTCTAGAGGTGGCTTTAAAATGTCACTAAACAAACAAATGAAAAACCTGTGGAAGTGTGACTGAGGCCACGTGAAATTGCACAGTTAACGTGGGAAGGGCCCAGATGATGGCGTGGCATCTGCGTGGCACCTGTGTGGGGTCTGTGTGGCACCTGTGTGGTGCTGCTAATCCATGAACATTCATGGCTTTGTATCTGTAGGCTCTTCCAGTGTCTCACATGAAGTTTCATAACTTTACCTGGAGAGGCCCTTTTGTTAGATTTATTTCTAGCCATCTGACATTTTTTGATGCTACTTTAGTTATATATCTAAATTTTTTTTCTTTTAGATGAAGTCTTTCTCTGTCACCAGGCTGTAGTGCAGTGGCGCGATATCAGCTCACTGCAACCTCCACCTCCCTAGTTCAAGCAATTCTCCTGCCTCAGCCTCCCAAGTAGCTGGGATTACAGGCGCCAACAACCATGCCCAGCTAATTTTTGTATTTTTAGTAGAGACAGGGTTTCACCATGTTGGCCAGGATGGTCTAAATCTCTTGACCTCCTGATCTGCCCACCTCGATCTCCCAAAGTGCTGGGATTACAGGCCTGAGCTGTCACGCCTGGCCTAAAAAAATTTTTTTTAATTTCTTTCTTGAATACAGAAATGTAACTTTAATCCTTATATTCAATAACCTTGCAAACTCGATTACTGTTAATTCTAGTAATTTATCTAGATTGGTTTTTCTATGTGCGTGATAGTCTGTGAATAATGGTACTTTTATTTATTCCTTCATAATCTTTATAAGTGTTATTGCTTTTTATCACTTGCTGCACTGGCTGGGACCTCTCTCACAAAGTTAGAAAGGAGTGTTGTCAGCTGACACTCTTATCTCGTCTTCCTCTCTAAGGCAAATTGTTAACATCTCACTATTAAGTATGACATTTGCTGTGGGCCTTTTGCAGCCATCCTTTATCAGATTGAGGAAGTTCCTGTCCGTTTCTAGATTGCTAAGAGGCTTCTTTTTAAATAAGGAACACATGCTGAACTCTGTCCAATGCTTGTTATAAATCTCTAAGGTGATCATATTCTTTTTCTCCTTTAACGTATCGGTGTGATGAATTATTCTGATTGGTTTTCTAAGGCTACATCTATTCTGAGAATACATCGACTTTGGTAATGAGGTATTTTTCCTCCTTCTATTACTGATCTCAACTTGCTGATACTTTGTTAAGGGTTTCTGCACTGTGTTGAGGAGGGAGATTAGCCCGCAGTTAATTTTCCTTTCTGGCAATGTTTTCACCTGGTTTTCTCATCAAGGCTGTGCCGGTCTCATACAACAAGTTAGGATGTGCTGGTGCTTTTCCTGTTTTCTGAAAGCAAATGTGTGAGATCAGTGTTATTCCTGAAAGCCTTCCTAGAGCTCACGAAATCACAGTCTGCCATGCAGAACAAATCCCGGCCGGGAGGCTCTTTTCCTTCTCCTTCAGTCGGTTCGGTGTTGGGCATCTCTCTCTTGGGAGTTCCCAGGGCCGGGCAAGGGACGGGCACCATGTTGATGTGGATGAGTCTTCCCCTGATTTCCCACCCTGAGCAGGCCTCACCTCACCGTCCCCGCCCCAGGCCTCTCCACCCTGAGAGCCAAGGGTGTGCAGGGAATACCTCCCTCCGGACAGAGGCAGCCCATGGCCCTGGGATTCCCAAGCCCTTCTGTGTCCATCCAGGGAAATACCTCCCTCCGGACAGAGGTGGCCCATGGCCCTGGGATTCCCAAGCCCTTCTGTGTCCATCCAGGGAAACACCTCCCTCCGGACAGAGGTGGCCCATGGCCCTGGGATTCCCAAGCCCTTCTGTGTCCATCCAGGGAAACACCTCCCTCCGGACAGAGGTGGCCCATGGCCCTGGGATTCCCAAGCCCTTCTGTGTCCATCCAGGGAAATACCTCCCTCCGGACAGAGGTGGCCCATGGCCCTGGGATTCCCAAGCCCTTCTGTGTCCATCCAGGGAAATACCTCCCTCCGGACAGAGGTGGCCCATGGCCCTGGGATTCCCAAGCCCTTCTGTGTCCATCCAGGGAAATACCTCCCTCCAGACAGAGGTGGCCCATGGCCCTGGGATTCCCAAGCCCTTCTGTGTCCATCCAGGGAAATACCTCCCTCCGGACAGAGGTGGCCCATGGCCCTGGGATTCTCTAGCCCTTCTGTGTCCATCCAGGGAAATACCTCCCTCCGGACAGAGGTGGCCCATGGCCCTGGAATTCTCTAGCCCTTCTGTGTCCATCCAGGGAAATACCTCCCTCCGGACAGAGGTGGCCCATGACCCTGGAATTCTCTAGCCCTCTATGTCCATCCAGGGAAATACCTCCCTCCAGACAGAGGCGGCCCATGGCCCTGGAATTCCCAAGCCCTTCTGTGTCCATCCAGTAACTGACCTTGAAGTTTCAGATCTTTAGTGCTTTCTGGTATTTTCCCTTCCCCAGATGCAGGCCTTGTGTGATTTCATTTCAGTGGGAAGGTTCAGCCTAACGGCATTACCAAATTCCAGAAGCATCAACTCTCCTTTCTCATCACGTCACATCCACTCTATGAAATATATCTTTGTCTGCTCAAGCCAAACCAATCCCTCTCATCTTTGTGATATGACAGAGCGTGGTATGGTAACCTTCCCCCTCTCCAGAATAACATCAGCAATACCTCACAGGAAGGTGCAACTTCACAACCAATCACACATTCCAGCCAAACGGGCCACAGCTGTGAACCAAAGACAAGCTAATATTTCAATTGCTTTGAGTTAGCAAATATCTTAGTGTTCTTGTTTCAGTGAATACAAATGGTAGAGCTAAAGTTTTCGTTTGCCTGAGTCTAGAAGAAGTCTTACAATGAATATCTTCCAGGTGCACATCTAAGAATAATGGAATAAAAATCAGGAATGGATAAATCAGAAGCTCTGGCAAAATCTACACTTGTGTATATGCTTCTGTGCCTACAAAGAGGAAGAAAATTTCCAGTCCTGCCTGGCTTGCATCAATATGCCAGTCAATTTTATCTGTTTCCAATTTCTGGGTGTGTAGTGTCTACAATATTTGCAATTTTCAATGTCCTTTGAATAAAGAAAAGAAATATGATGTTTCTGAATCTTTGCTCCACTTTGCTGCAGGAGCCTGTGTATACAGAGCAACACTAACATTTTATTCTTTTTTTCTACTATAAAAGAATATGGGCTTTTTTCATTCTCCATCCAAAGTCATTATTACTTAAAAAAATAGAATTGGGCCGGGTGTGGTGGTTTACACCTATAATCCCTGCACTTTGGGAGGCCGAGGGGGGTGGATCACCTGAGGTCAGGAGTTCGGGACCAGCCTGGCCAACATGGCGAAACCCCATCTCTACTAAAAATACAAAAATTAGCCAGGCATGGTGGAGGGTGCCTGTAATCCCAGCTACTTGGGAGGCTGAGACAGGAGAATCGCTTGAACTCAGGAGGCAGAGGTTTCAGTGAGCCAAGATCGTACCACTACACTCCAGCCTGGGTGACAGAACAAGACTGTCAATAATAATAATAATAATAAATCAGCAAAGGGAATCTCTAATTAGTATGCAGTGGATTTTGCAAATCACACCACGACTCCTGCTGTTCATTGGTGCAGAGTAGGCAGACGCACATATTCTCTGCTTTTGTAACCTGCTCACACACAGCTCATTCCAATGGAGATCCCCTCACTCAGGTGACATTTATGGAAAGCATTATGCCATTTGGAGAGCAGTTACTACAAAAAAGTTTAAAGAAAGAGTTGTCCTGGAAAACGATGCTTTATACACGAAGGATTTGGGTGCCGTGGAAAAGCATCCTGCAGAAGGTGGACTGTGAGTTTTGCTAACCTCAGAACACAGGTGGCTCTGCTCTTGCTCAGCAGAGAAGACAACGTTGACCGTCGCAACACAGCACCCACGCTGGTCCAGGCAGAATTGGTCCCTGCCATCCGTGCTGCCTGAGTCACAGAATTGAAGAAGAGATGGCAAAAACGAGTATTCAAGACCACACAGCCCAACAGAAAGGCCCGCAGCCCACGGAGACTTGTGGTTTGACTGTCCTGAGGTCCTGCCAAAACAGTTCATCCGGTCTCTACACCTCCCTGGAAGAAGGTGCTCCATATTTTGGAGAAAATTACTCTCCTTTTGAGCATCCTGACAGTTTTCACGCTGGCACTGCCCTCTAGTTACATACCCGAACATCCAGAAACTGCCTGCAAAGGGTCCACAGCTCACGTTCCCACCTCGGGTGTCCAGGTTATTCACTCAGGAAGCAAAAAACAACAGGACCAAGGATTAGAAATTAAACTGTGGAATTTACCTTTTTATCCGCAGTGTGTGTGGCTCTGCCTTCCTCGTTGCTTGTGTGGAAACCCAGGTCCACGTGGAGGAATCAGACGGCTCAGAGGGCGGCTGCGGAACTGAGAAGGCATCTGCTCACTGCACTAGTGTCCGCAGCAGGGCCGGAAAGAGATGATCTTCGCCTGTACACTTCATGGAGTCTTGAATTAATTATCCGAACTTCCACTTTAGGTTCCTAATCATTTAAACACAAAAAAGAGCGGGGAGAGCCTTTTCGTGTGGTCAGAAACAAATCTCCTTTGAGTGTGTATTTCATTCTCGGTGCCATGATTTAAGGGATGAGATGGCATTTTGTAGAAGTAAAAAGAGACAGAGATAGAAATACAAAACATACTGGAGCTGAAGTTTCTGCTTCGTACCTGACTTTACACGGGCAGGTCCTAAGCCTCAGAGGCCAGGCCTCCAGAGCACAGGGGTCTTAAGAGTAACCTACAACAGCACGGGCACATAGTCGCTGCCAATAAATTTTGATGAAAGAAAAAGGACTAGAACCATTTGTGTTTGCCAACAAGAACCGCCTCCTAGGTTTCACTACAAATAACAGAGGACAGATGGAAGAAACTCACGTTTCCCCAGATGATTCTTCAAGCACTCCTTCCTCACTGTACATTTCTACTAAATACCTTCTAACGTGACAGCAGTTCGTCAACATCATTAATTGTTCAAAAATATAATTAAATATAAAAACACAATTTCCCACTTCTGATTGATGCCTTATATTTTCCAAAATAAATTTAAGAAAGAGTTTTATCAAAACAACAACTTTCTAAGGACGATCATCCCTGGGGACCCCGACCTTATGAGGAGCTGGCCTCACCCGCCCCCCACATTCCAACCAGCTGGCAACAACCGGCAGCAACAGCCAGGTTACAGTGGAAGCTTCTCTTTCAAATTTATATCATCTTATAAATTATTTGCCGTTTATAATAATGCAGCACTTTCATAATAAAATATAGCAAGCAACAAAAGCAAACATAGATAAGTGGGATTACGTCAAACCAGAGAGTTCCTACTCAGCGAAGGAAACAGTAAAATGAAAAGGCAGCCTACAGGTTGGGGGAAATATTTGCTAATTTTTTTTTTTTTTCTTTTTGAGACAGAGTCTCACTCTGTCACCCAGGCTGGAGTGCAGTGGCGCGATCTCGGCTCACTGCAAGCTCCGCCTCCCGGGTTCACGCCATTCTCCTGCCTCAGCCTCCCGAGTAGCTGGGACTACAGGCACCCGCCACCGCGCCCGGCTAATTTTTTGTATTTTTAGTAGAGACGGGGTTTCACCGTGTTAGCCAGGGTGGTCTCGATCTCCTGACCTCGTGATCCGCCCGCCTCGGCCTCCCAAAGTGCTGGGATTACAGGCGTGAGCCACCGCGCCCGGCCCAGGACAGGCGATCTCAAATGTTCTCACCAAACACAGGCAAAGATAACTATGTGAGGTGATGAACAGTTAGCTAGTTTGTGGTCATTTCACAATGCATACATCTATCAAAACATCACATTGTACATGATAAATATACGTATTCATTTTTGTCAGTTTTACCTCAGTAAACCCAGACAAATAAAATATATTTATATTTGGGGAAAAAAAACTAAGCTTGCTCTTCCAAGCAAATACCAATACTTAAACATACCAAAACCCAAATAAACCCAAAATGACACATTGAGAATATTTATCAAATAGTTTTGTGCGGCGTGATTTTTACTGGCTGCGTAGTGATCTACTTGCCTTTGCTTCAGTGTTTTGCTATTTTAATAAGCCCCTGAGGACCGCCCTTGTGCATTGTGCTTTTTGCATATTTCTGGTTATTTTCTGAAACTAGAGTTCCGGAAAGGGGAGACGGTGGCTTCACAAAGCTGGAAAGCGCAGGAGTGGGTCCAGCCTGGGGAAGCACGGCTCAGCCTGGGTTTATCTCCGTCCTCCACCTGCTCTTCACTCTGAAGCTCAGCAAGAGAGCGTGTGGCCCCCAGGCGCCCTTGCCCAGAGGTGTCCAGTTCCCTCTCGCTGGCCTCCATCTGGTCTGGACTGGTCAGGTGAGGCAGGTGCAGCAGTGCAGGTAAAGCGATGTGATCCACGTCCTGTGCCCCAGGAACAGGGTGACGTCCCTTCCACCCCTACATGGGCTGCTTATGGGGTAAGCGGAGTTCCCAGAGCACCAAAGGGACAGCAGAACACAGCAGGGAAGAGGCAGTCAGGGGCACCGTGGTCCTGGGCCAGGTGGCACCCGCGCAGGGAAGAGGCGGTGAGGTGACCACAGTCTGGCCACCTGACGCAGCAACCAGGTGCGAAGGACTCACTGAAAATGAGATTCAAAAGATGACGCGGGCAGAGATGTTCTCCTGTCCTTACTCAACACCACCTGAAATGCTGGTAACAACTGTCCATGTGGCAGTGACTCCCACTGCCCGCCAGCTACCAGCATTAATTCTGGGCCTTGTTATTAACATAACGTTTCTGTTCAGCATCGCCACAACCACCGATAAGATAGGAATGAGCACAAAACTAGGGCACTGGAAACCAGGGGAGGTGACCAGAACTCTTTCACTCTATTCATTCGGCACACACGGACTGCACACCTGCTGTAGCTAACTGATGTGTGAGGTCTTGGGAATCAGCAGTGAACAAAACAAAGTTGCCGCCCTTGTGGAGGATGAATTCTAGTGGCGAGAGACAGACAGCAACAGGGGACATGCCCGTGCAGCACGCTGAGCAACGGTGGCGCCATCATCACCACACCCCACGTCACATGACAGGGATACAGTACGTGTCAGGGGTTTCACTGTGTGGGAAAAGGTCACGCCATCATCACCATGCCCAGCGTCACGTGACATGGATAGAGTACATGTCAGGGGTATCACTGTGTGGGAAAAGGTCACACCATCATCACCACTCCCCACGTCACATGACAGGGATACAGTACGTGTCAGGGGTTTCACTGTGTGGGAAAAGGTCACGCCATCATCACCATGCCCGGCGTCACGTGACATGGATAGAGTACATGTCAGGGGTATCACTGTGTGGGAAAAGGTCACACCATCATCACCATGCCCAGCGTCACGTGACATGGATAGAGTACATGTCAGGGGTATCACTGTGTGGGAAAAGGTCACACCATCATCACCATGCCCAGCGTCACGTGACATGGATAGAGTACATGTCAGGGGTATCACTGTGTGGGAAAAGGTCACACCATCATCACCATGCCCGGCGTCATGTGACATGGATAGAGTACATGTCAGGGGTATCACTGTGTGGGAAAAGGTCACACCATCATCACCACGCCCGGCGTCATGTGACAGGGATACAGTACGTGTCAGGGGTTTCACTGTGTGGGAAAAGGTCACACCATCATCACCACGCCCGGCGTCATGTGACAGGGATACAGTATGTGTCAGGGGTTTCACTGTGTGGGAAAAGGTCACGCCATCATCACCATGCCCAGCGTCACGTGACATGGATAGAGTACATGTCAGGGGTATCACTGTGTGGGAAAAGGTCACACCATCATCACCACACCCGGCGTCATGTGACAGGAATACAGTACGTGTCAGGGGTATCACTGTGTGGGAAAAGGTCACGCCATCATCACCACGCCCGGCGTCATGTGACAGGGATACAGTACGTGTCAGGGGTTTCACTGTGTGGGAAAAGGTCACGCCATCATCACCATGCCCAGCATCACGTGACATGGATACAGTACGTGTCAGGGGTACCACTGTGTGGAGAGATGGTCACGTGGCCAGGACGTAACAGACAGAACGTGGAATCCTGGGCTTTTGCTTCACACACAAGTGCTCTGTGTATCCATTCTCCCCTGAATTTGTCCACACGTTCAGTACATGTTTAGTGAGCACCTACTATGTGTTGGACACTGGTATTCAGCTCTGGGGATGCGGTGGTGGGAGACAGAGCCTCCGTCCCTCTGGACCCCCAACACCCCACAGTGCTCTCTGATCTCCCATTCTCTCGGATCAGTGTGTCCAGGTTCCTGCCACAAACCCACCCTGTGCAATCGGCTGCAGCAAGTCAGTTCAGCTGCCCGGTCCAGTCACTCCAGACGAAGCTCAGGGTGGCCGTCTGGCTGTTCTCAGACCCACGAAGGCCATGCTTCACTAAAGCAGACATCCTGCATCAATCTAGGAGGGGGTCCAATCTGTGTTGAGTGTTTACGTTATTTAATATCTAGGCAGGCGGGCGCAGTGGCTCACACCTGTAATCCCAGCACTTTTGGAGGCTGAAGCGGGTGGATCACCTGAGGTCAGGAGTTCGAGACTAGCCTGCCAATATGGTGAAACCACATCTACGAACAAATATTAAAAATAGCCGGTCATGGTGGCTCACGCCTGTAATCCCAGCACTTTGGGAGGCCAAGGCAGGCAGATCACCTGAGGTTGGGAGTTTGAGACCAGCCTGACCAACATGGAGAAATCCTGTCTCTACTAAAAATACAAAGTTAGTCAGGCGTGGTGGTGCATTCCTGTAATCCTAGCTTGGGAGGCTGAGGCAGGAGAATCGCTTGAATCTGGGAAGCAGAGGTTGTGGTGAGCTGAGATCATGCCATTGCACTGCAGCCTGAGCTACAAGATGGAAACTCCATCTCAATAAATAAATAAGCAAACAAAAAAATAGCTGGGCGTGGTCATGGGTGCCTGTAATCCCAGCTACTCAGGAGGCTGAGGCAGGAGAATCACTTGAGCCCAGGAGACTGAGGTTGCAGTGAGCCGAGATCTTGCCATTGCACTCCAGCCTGGACAACAAGAGCAAAACTCTGTCATAAAATAAATAAAATAAAATAAAATCTAGGCACATCAAACTTTTGTAGATGAAATTCCATCTTAATATAAACTTTCTATATAAATCCTTGGGTCGAGTAAAGAAAATAATTACCCGTTAACTTATTTGTTTTTGATATCTGGGTTTCAGAAGCTTAAAGGAAAACGTGCTGGTGCATTTCCTCTATGTTTAGAAACCTGTAGTATTCCTAGGAGGGGTAGAAGCATCTCCAGCTCTTTCAGAAACTCCTGCAAGATGAGATCAGTTCCGGGGCTGGGCTGGCGTCGGCCTGCAATGGGAGGGCCGTGGATGGAGCCAAATACGAGTTCTACCTGGATTTATGTTGATGAAACACACGCTTTCTGATGTAGCCTCCAGTCCTTGTTCGATTGTGGAGGGTCCTGGATGTTTAACAGCACAGTGCCGGCCCCAAGGGTCCCAGGGCCTGCCGACCACCAGCCCTTCCCAGGGCCAGGCAGCAGCCCTGCCCAGAGCCCAGCAGGGTGTGTCTGGAGCCCACCCAGCAGCTGCCCCGGACCCGAATATTCTGCCTGCAGATCCTGGGAAAGCACCACTCCCTGCTTTGGGTGTCTGCATGTTCATAGCACGTTCTCGCTGACATTACTCTGCAGGAAAAGCCCTAGCTGAGAGGCGCAGAAGGCGGGTGCGGCCCCCTCCCTGGTCCTCCCTGTGGGCGCTGCCCAAGCCTCAGCCCTATGTTTCACCAGGCCCAGCCCACATCCCTGCTGGCCTCTGAAGTCCCATCGGCCCCACCCTCCCTGACTTCCTCAGCCTTTCACTGTCCTGGTCTTCGCCTTTTCCCTCATTTCCCGAGCTGCTGTGCAGTGGAAACACTGACTGTGTCTGATCTACTCAAAACAGCATATTTCAGCTCACATTCATCAAAACGCAGCGTCATGCCTAGGAACTGAGGGTGTGGAGGGGATGTGCCCGGGCCGAGCATGTCCTCATGGCCAGCAGCTGTGGGGCAGACACCAGCCACCTCCAGGACTGAGCAAGACCACAACCCTCCCTGGTGAAGCTGCTTACCCTGAGACGAGCCTCACCCAGCCCCATGACGACGGCCACCCTGTGTTCTCCCATATTCATTCATGCACCCGTCGGCTCACCCGTCCACTCACAAGCACCGTATGGTTCACGCACCTGTCGGCTCACCCGTCCACTCACAAGCACCGTATCGTTCACGCACCCGTCGGCTCACCCGTCCACTCACAAGCACCGTATCGTTCACGCACCCGTCGGCTCACCCGTCCACTCACAAGCACCGTATCGTTCACGCACCCGTCGGCTCACCCGTCCACTCACAAGCACCGTATTGTTCACGCACCCGTCGGCTCACCCGTCCACTCACAAGCACCGTATGGTTCACGCACCCGTCGGCTCACCCGTCCACTCACCAAGCACCGTATCGTTCACGCACCCGTCGGCTCACCCGTCCATTCACCAAGCACCGTATCGTTCAGGCACCCATCGGCTCACCCATCCACTCACAAGCACCGTATGGTTCACACACCCGTCGGCTCACCCATCCATTCACCAAGCACCATATCATTCACGCACCCATCAGCTCACCCATCCACTCACAAGCACCGTATCATTCACGCACCCATCAGCTCACTCATCCACTCACCAAGCACCGTATCATTCACGCACCCTTCAGCTTACCCATCCACTAACCAACCACCACCGTGCAGATGGCGTGGAGTGGACGCTGGAGGCGCGTACTCTGGAGACTCGGTCCCACTCTCACCCTTGCTGTGGCTCGATGACCTTCGCTGGACGGTCACCCGGGGCCAGCCCATGCTGGCCAGGGGCAGTGCTGGGGGAGGCTGGAGGGCCAGGCCAGGCTCCCTCTGTCCACTGTGTACATCTGCCTCTCAGGCCTCGCAGGACAACACGTGTCTGCGTGGACCTGGGTGGTAGATGTCACGGTGTTCCTGAAGCACGAGGCACACACCTGCACCACGGTTAAAGCATGAAGGTGCTGGCCTGAGCATGCCCTCATGTTCATTCTTCCCACACCAGAGCTACAGAAATGATAGAGACGTTATTTGAGGCATCCGGACTGACCTGAAGAACAAGAAGGGCTCAGACACGTGTGAACTCCATGTGGACAGATGGGGTGGATGGGACGGTCGGTGGGGCCACAGGCGGGGGCACTGACAGGCAGGGCTGGGGCAGGAGGAGCCCCTCGCCCCTGGGAGCTGGGCAGGCAGCCAACCACAAAGCCACATCCATATCAATCGTCACCAAACTCCAAGGAAAGCCGGCACCGTTGCAGGGAAACACTGCAACAGGAGAGAAGCTGCCGCCAGGGCAGCAGAGCTAATATTAGAATTGGAGCAGGACATGTTAAGAATCTACCTAGCTAATATCCTCAGGGGGACAAAGAGGGATATCTGATGTTTCATGTTGAGCTGTGAAACAACAACAGGTGAAACTGAAATATTTAACTGTTGGGGAAAAGTCTTCATGGAAGAGGAAAGAATGGACTCAGTCTCAAATGAGAACAACAGGCCCACTCTGTGAATTCGATCGGATGAAGCCATCATCCCTGAGCATATCCTGGGCAGCCGGAGGATGCTCTAATGTGACACACGTTTTGTACACGTTACTATCCTGTATTTGAATATCACAAATTTCAAATTCTCTAAAAAAGTGGATTTTTATTTATGCTAGAAATTTCAGTTAAGCAAGACATTTAACCAGAACAGGTTTGCCAGGCATTTTTTTAGCGGCAACACTTTTATTTAAATGGCTGTTAAGTGACGGTCCTTTATACCCAGCCACTAGCCCACCTAGTCCCTTCGTGCAAATGCAGCAAAGGTATCTGGATCTCAGCCGGGCGCGGTGGCTCAGGCCTGAATCCCAGCACTTTGGGAGGCCAAGGCAGGTGCATCACCTGAGGTTAGGAGTTGAGGACCAGCCTAGCCAATATGGTGAATTCCCCATCTCTACTAAAAATATAAAAACTAGCTGGACGTGGTGATGTGCACCTATAATCCCAGCTACTCAGGAGGCGGAGGCAGGAGAATCACTTGAACCGGGAGGTGAAGTTTGCAGTGAGCTGAGATTGCGCCACTGCACTCCAGCCTGGGCAACAGGGTGAGACTCCATCGTGGAAAAAAAAAAGAGAAAATAAATAAATAATAATAATTTAAAAAGATGCCTGGATCTGTATTCACCACGCATGGCAACTACCCCAAAACAACTCTAATACTGAGTGGCCGACACAGCCACCGCGTTTGCCCACGGTTCCGTGGTTGGCGTTTGAGCTGCTCCAGGCTGCTGAGCAGTTCTGCTGGTCACTTGTGCCCTTCAGACCTCTGGGGCACAGGTGTGGCTGGTTGGTCCCCGTGGCCTGGTTCGTGTGTCTGGAGTTAGTCTGGCTGTCGGGTGAGCCATGAGCCTGCAGAATTCTAGCCCGGCTCCTCCACCAGGCCTGGACTCCAGAAGGCCCATTTGCTGCTGTGGCCTGGGCGTGTCACCCACTGGGCCTGGGAGAGCAGCTCCCCACTGGCCCTCCCTGTGCCACCATACCCTCCCTGACACTCCCTGTGCTGCTGTGCCCTTCCTGTACCACCGTGCCCTTCCTGACCCTCCCCAAGCCACCATGCCCTCCCCTAACCTCTCTGTGCTGTCATGCCCTTCCTGTGCCACCATGCCCTCCCCCACCCTCCCTGTGTTGCCGTGCCCTTCCTGTACCACCATGCTCTTCCCGACCCTCCCCAAGACACCATGCCTTCCCCCACCCTCTCTGTGCTGCCATGCCCTTCCTGTGCCACCATGCCCTCCCCAATCCTCCCCCTGCACCATGCGCTCCCCCACCCTCTCTGTGCTGCCATGCCCTCCCCGTGCCGCCATGCCCTCCCTGACCCTCCCCCTGCAGCCGTGCCCTCCCCAGCCCTCCCCGTGCCACCATGCTCTCCCCCACCCTCCCTGTGCTACTGTGCCCGCCCCAGCCCTCCCCATGCTGCCGTGCCCTTCCTGAAGACGCCATCTCCACTGCACACAGAGGGGTTGTGATACGCTGCCCTGACTAGAACAAAATGCTTCACTGCAATTTTCCAGAACTTGTCATAAAACATGTCTCAGGCTATGATTTCTGCAGCGTGAGTGGCAGGACCAGGACAGACGCAGCTGCAGGGCACACCTGCCGGTCATCTGGCTGCTCTGCTGTGCACCTGGTTCTGTGGGCCGTCCTGGGAAGAGCTCCTATAGTGCCTGTGTCTCTGCGGAAAACCCTAAAAATCAGCAAGTCAGACACTCCTAAGCCAGCTCTGAGGCTGCCAGTGAGAACTTCTGATTGCTTTGCACATCCACCAGCTGATGGCAAGCAGAAAACATTCCTGATGCCACTGTGTGCCCGACGACCCGAGGGAGGGCTGTACAGTGCACAGGGGCTGTGGAAACCAGGCCCCCTCAGCAAGGAGCTTCCACCTGTCTGGGGTTTGAAGCTAACACCTGGGACGATTGCGGACCTCTAGCAGATCACACTGTGGGGGCTGCTGCAGGCCAGAGCGGCTGCCAGACCGAGACAACGTGACCATGCCTTCTGGGGCTGCAGCATCAGTGAGGGCACGCACGCCTCACGGGACCCTCTGCCCTGAGCTTCAGCAACAGCTTTTTCTTAGAGTCGGGCGGGGTGGCTGCATTGCTGACGTGCCCTCTCCCGTCCTTGCCAGCGTCTTCTGGAGTCCCCTCTGCCGTCCATCATGACTGCATGAGCGTTGACACCAGGCACTACCCCCCGCCTGACCTTCTGTATTTGATCCTGAGAAACCTGGCAGCTGAGTGACACTCAAGGCTGTGTTTGCATGTTCTCCTTTTCCGAAGTCAAATAAAACTCCTGGGTAAAATATTCTTTTTTATTTATTTATTTATTTTGAGACGGAGTCTTGCTCTGTCGCCAGGCTGGAGTGCAGTGGCGCGATCTTTGCTCACTGCAAGCTCCACCTCCCGGGTTCAAGCGATTCTCCTGTCTCAGCCTCCTGAGTAGCTGGGACTACAGGTGTGTGCCACCACGCCCGGCTAATTTTTGTATTTTTAGTAGAGATGGGGTTTCACCATGTTGGCCAGGATGTTCTCAATCTCCTGACCTCGTGATCCGCCCGCCTCAGCCTCCCAAAGTGCTGGGATTACAGGCGTGAGCCACCATGCCTGGCCTATTCTTTCTTTATTCGCAAGTAGAATAGTAGGAGTGGCGGCCTTACTATCAGTATTTTTTCCTCCCTCTCTTTTATTCAATAGCAGCAAACAAGAGATGCATTTGGTCCAGATTTGGCAAATACCTGCATTAATGTGCCATTAAGAGTAAAATTACTCTTTGTAAAGTGTCTTACAAGTTTAATAAGAAGCAGTTATGTGATTTCATCGAGACAATATTTGAAGATTTTTGTGCCTTGTTCTTCAAATAATTTCCCATTGGAAAAGTGGAGAGATTTATTGAGTTTTTCAGGCAATCCTATTTCTATGTCGCAATCAGAAAATCTAGGCCTTGACCTGCCTCTGCCCTTTTCTGAGAATCAGTGTTGAATAAAGACGGTTTATTAACTTATTCCCAGCTCAGACAGATATAAGGGTGATATTAAAGAAAAAAATGAAGGCCATGTAACAGAAGAGACAAGAAAAATCTACCAAAAGTCATTGTTGTTTCATGGAGCCATAAAAAAGTTGTGAAATTTGTGTAAACACAGATTGGATACAATGTAATTAAATAGAGGCTAATAGACCCCTACTCAAACTGAGTACAATGTAATTCATCAGAGGCTAACAGACCCCTACTCAAACTGAGTACAATGTAGTTAAATAGAGGCCGATAGACTCCTACTCAAACTGAGTACAATGTAATTAAATAGAGGCTGATAGACCCCTACTCAAACTGAGTACAACCTAATTCAACAGAGGCTAACAGACCCCTACTCAAACTGAATACAATATATTTAAATAGAGGATAATGCACCCCTACTCAAACTGAGTACAATGTATTAAATAGAGGCTAATAGACCCCTACTCAAACCTTGTGCGAAACTGATATTCAAAGACCTTTCTCCAGCTGGGACGTGAGTGCTAACAGACTTTGTATAGCTTATTTTACCCATTATTAAAGTGAGGGTTATCTATAAACTTTTAACCACATTTTTTTTCTGGCCAGGTGCAGTGGCTCATGCCTATAATCCCAGCACTTTGGAAGGCTGAGGCAGGAAGACAGCTCAAGGCCAGGAGTTTGCGACCAGCCTGGGCAACATGGTGAGACTCCATCTCTACAAAAAATACAGATTAGCTGGGCGTGGTAGCACGTGCCCGTGGTCTCAGATTCTTGAAGGGCTGAGACGGGAGGATCACTTGAGCCCAGGAGTTTGAGGTTGCAGTGAGCTGAGATTGTGTCACTGCACTTCAGCTTGGGCAACAGAGTGAGACCTTATCTTAAAAAAAAAAAAAAAAAAGGAAAGGAAAGGAGGGGAAGAAAAAGAAAAAATAACAGATGTTGGTGAGGTTGCAGAGAGAAGGGAACACTTATATATACGATGTTGGTGGGAATGTAAGTTAATTCAGCCACTGTGGAAAGCAGCTTGGAGATTTCTCAAAGAACTTATAACAGAGCTGCCATTCCAACCAGGAGTCCCAGTACTGGGTATGTATCCAAAAGAAAACAAATCTCTCTACCAAAAAGACACCTGCACTCGCATGTTAGCGAAGACATGGACTCAACCTAGATACCCATTAGTGGTGGGCGGGATACAGAAAATGGGGTCCATACACACCACGGAATACTACGCAGCCACGAAAAAACAAGATCATGTCTTTTATGGGAACATGGATGGAGCTGGAGGTTATCATCCTTAGCAAACGAGCACAGGAACAGAAAAGCAAATACCGCACGTTCTCATGTTCACGTGGGAGCTAACCACTGAGCACACATGGACACGAAGATGAGAACCACAGACACTGGAGACACCAGGGGGATAGGGAGCAGGGCAAGGGCTGAAAGCTCACTCTCGGGTACTGTGCACAGTGCCTGGGCGACAGGGTCATTCGTAACCCACACCCCAGCAACACGCAATTTACCTGCGGCAACAAACGTGCACGTGTATGCCCAGACCTAAAAGTTGAAAGGAAAACATTGAAAAATATAGAAATTGGAAATAAATATTATGGAGGATTTATTTATTTGATGGAGATGAACATTTCAAAACGTGGTCTGCTCAAATTTTTAGGATAAATGAAAAGCAAAAAGCTTCCCTCATTGTCTGAAGTCAGCTGTTTATCTCCATTGGCACACACATTTTAGGTAATGAATTTGTTAAATAATGATATATGTACATTTAAAACTTGGAGCAATACCAGAAAGTCTCGTTTTTAAAAAACCAATATCATCCCAAATTCCACTGATCAGAAATAAACACTGTCAACATGTGGTGAATGTTATTCAAGATGTCTCTAGAAAGGAAAATCTCTTCTCTGCTATCTCTGAATACGTGTTCTGCTCCTTCTCTGAAGTCGCTATCCAGGGCGCATTGTCCTCGCATGGGTCACACACACCTTCTCCTTCTCCACCTTTGAGCCACCGCTCTCGGCTCCTGGGCGTTTCCCGCTGTCTCTTTCATCATCTCAAGTTCCCCTTTAACTTGACTTTCCAGTCATGTTTATTCTTCCCTTGTTTGTAATTAAATTAAATTAACCGGGAAGGTTTTGTTTTGTTGATGCTATTGTTTCCTTAGCTCTCCACGGCTTCCTGTTGTTTTGCCATCTCGTCTTTGAACTGCTGTTTTATTTCATTCATATAATAATATTTTCCACAGCAAGTGGGAAGCCCTGAAGGGAATTTACTTCTGTTCCTTTTGCAATGTTTCTTCTAGCCTGGGTTCTTCATGTTTTGCTAACCCGGTTCTTTTCCCTCCCTCCTCCCTTCCTCTCTCCCTCCTTCCCACCTGTCATCTTTCCTCCCTTCCTCTCTCCCTCCTTTCTTCCTTCGTTCTTCCTTCTCCTTCTCTCCCTACCCACTCCCTCCCTCCTCCTGTCTCGCTCCTCCTCTTCCTCCCTCGTGCTCGTGGGCAGTCGGCAGCTTGGTTTGCTCTGATGTCCTGCGGCTGAATTTTCTCCCAATCCCATCTGAGACCAGTTTTTCTTCCACGAGGAGGGAGACTGGGAGTTGTTTTTATATCCCAAAGGTACTGTGTGTGTCTGAGGGTGAGTGCATGTGAATGTGTGTGTTCGAGTGTGAGTGTGCATGTTTTGTATGTTTGTGTGTGTGTACATGTGTGTTTGTGAGAGTTTGTGGGTGTGTGTGAAAGACGTCATGTCATACACTCATGTCTAAGTGTGTGAGTTCAGTGTGAGCGTAAGTGTGTATGTACATGTGTTTCTGAGTGTGTCTGAGTGTACAGCGAGGTGGGACAGGGAGGGGTGTAAGAACTCAATTCCATTTATAATAGCCACAAAAACAATACAGTACCTAGGAATACGTTTAATCAAAGAGATGAAAGATCTCTACAAGAAGAGCTACAAAACACGATGAAAGAAATTGTAGATGACACAAAAAACATGGAAAAGCATCGCATGCTCATGAATTGGAAGAATCAGTATCATCGAAATGACCATACTGCCTGGAGCAATCTACAGATTCAATGCAATCCCTATCAAAGTACCAATGTCATTTCTCACAGAATTAGAAAAAACAATCCTAAAGTTCATATGGAACCAAAAAAGAGCCTGAATGGCCAAAGCATTCCTCCTGAGCAAAAAGAACCAATCCAGATGCATCACGTTGCCTGACTTTAAATTATACTACAAGTCTATAGTAACAACAGCGTGGTACTGGTACAAAAATAGACACATAGATCAATGGCATAGAATAGAGAACCCAGAATAAAGCCACATACCTGCAACTGATCTTCAACAAAGTTGACAAAAATAAACAATGAGAAACGGACATCCTATTCAATAAGTGCTGCTGGGAAAACTGGCTGTCAATATCCAGAAGAATAAAACTGGACTCCTATCTCTTATCATGTACAAAAATTATCTCCAGATGGATGAAAGACTGAAACGTGCAGGAAAAGAAATCATCAACCGAGTGAACAGACAAGAAATGGAACGGTAGAAAATATTTACAAATTATGCCTCCAACAAAGGACTAATATCAGAAATGACAAGGAACTCAAACAACAAGAAGAAAAAACAAACCCCATTACAAACTGGGCAAAGGGCACGAACAGACATTTCTCAAAAGAATAAATACACATGGCCAACAACCACATGAAAAAACGCTCAATATCACAAATCATCAGAAAAATGCAAATTAAAACCACATCGAGATATCATCTTGCACCAGTCAGAATGACTATTAAAATGTCAAAAAAAAAAAAAAAACACCAGATGTTGGCATGGATGTGGAGAAAAGGGAATGCTTATGCCCTTTGCTGGGAATGTAAATTAGTTCAACCTCTACGGAAAACAGTATGGAGATTTCTCAAAGACCTAAAAATAGAGCTACCATCCTACCCAGCAATCCCACTTCTGGGCATCTACCCAAAGGAAAAGAAATCATTATACAAAAAAGACACCCATACTTGTATGTTTATCAAAGCACCACTCACAGTAGCAAACTCATGGAACCAACCTAAGCGTCCATTAATGGTTGACTGGATACAGGAAACGTGGCACATCCAAACTATGGAATATTATGCAGCCATACAAAAGAATGAAACCACATCCTTTGCAGCAACGTGGTTGGAGCTGGAGACCATTATCTTAAATGAACTGACTCGGAAACAGAAAAGCAAATACTGCATGTTCTCACTTATCAGTGGGAGCTAAATGGTGGGTACACATGGACATAAAGAAGGAAACAACAGACACTGAGGACTTGAGAAGGGGGAGGGAGGAATGGGGGCGAGGGATGAAAAACTACCTGTCAGGTGCAGCGCTCACCGTTTGGGTAATGGGCACTCTAGAAGCTCAATCCCCTCAGTGCGCAATACACCCATGGGACAAACATGCACGTGTATCCCTTGAACCTAAAATAAAACCAAGTTTAAAAAAAAAAAAAAAAAAGAGGAAAAGGAGAAAAATGGAAGCACAGCAATTTCCCTGAAGTTGAAGTTGAAAACTAGCACCCAGACCCAGGATACCAGCACCCAGACCCGGACAGAGTGAGGCTCCAGACCCGGATAGAGTGAGGCTCCAGACCCAGGACAGAGTGAGGCTCCAGACCCGGGACAGAGTGAGGCACCAGACCCGGGACAGAGTGAGGCTCCAGACCCGGACAGAGGGAGGCTCCAGACCCGGGACAGAGTGAGGCTCCAGACCCGGGACAGAGTAAGGCTCCAGACCCGAAGAGAGTGAGGCTCCAGACCCGGACAGAGTGAGGCTCCAGACCCGGACAGAGTGAGGCTCCAGACCCGGATAGAGTGAGGCTCCAGACCCGGATAGAAGGAGGCTCCAGACCCGGGACAGAGTGAGGCTCCAGACCCGGGACAGAGTGAGGCTCCAGACCCGGGACAGAGTGAGGCTCCAGACCCGGATAGAGGGAGGCTCCAGACCCAGGTAGAGTGAGGCTTCAGACCCGGGACAGAGTGAGGCTCCAGACCCGGGACAGAGTGAGGCTCCAGACCCGGGACAGAGTGAGGCTCCAGACCCGGGACAGAGTGAGGCTCCAGACCCGGATAGAGTGAGGCTCCAGACCCAGGTAGAGTGAGGCTCCAGACCCGGGTAGAGTGAGGCTCCAGACCCGGATAGAGTGAGGCTCCAGACCCGGGACAGAGTGAGGCTCCAGACCCGGGACAGAGTGAGGCTCCAGACCCGGATAGAGTGAGGCTCCAGACCCGGGACAGAGTGAGGCTCCAGACCCGGACAGAGTGAGGCTCCAGACCCGGATAGAGTGAGGCTTCAGACCCGGGACAGAGTGAGGCTCCAGACCCGGACAGAGTGAGGCTCCAGACCCGGGACAGAGTGAGGCTCCAGACCCGGGACAGAGTGAGGCTCCAGACCCGGATAGAGTGAGGCTTCAGACCCGGGACAGAGTGAGGCTCCAGACCCGGACAGAGTGAGGCTCCAGACCTGGGACAGAGTGAGGCTCCAGACCCGGACAGAGTGAGGCTCCAGACCCGGATAGAGGGAGGCTCCAGACCCAGGTAGAGTGAGGCTCCAGACCCGGACAGAGTGAGGCTCCAGACCCAGACAGAGTGAGGCTCCAGACCCGGGACAGAGTGAGGCTCCAGACCCGGACAGAGTGAGGCTCCAGACCCGGATAGAGTGAGGCTTCAGACCCGGGACAGAGTGAGGCCCCAGACCCGGACAGAGTGAGGCTCCAGACCCGGGACAGAGTGAGGCTCCAGACCCGGGACAGAGTGAGGCTCCAGACCCGGATAGAGTGAGGCTTCAGACCCGGGACAGAGTGAGGCTCCAGACCCGGACAGAGTGAGGCTCCAGACCCGGGACAGAGTGAGGCTCCAGACCCGGACAGAGTGAGGCTCCAGACCCGGATAGAGGGAGGCTCCAGACCCAGGTAGAGTGAGGCTCCAGACCCGGGACAGAGTGAGGCTCCAGACCCGGGACAGAGTGAGGCTCCAGACCCGGATAGAGGGAGGCTCCAGACCCGGATAGAGGGAGGCTCCAGACCCGGGACAGAGTGAGGCTCCAGACCCGGGACAGAGTGAGGCTCCAGACCCAGGTAGAGTGAGGCTTCAGACCCAGGTAGAGTGAGGCTCCAGACCCGGGACAGAGTGAGGCTCCAGACCCGGGACAGAGTGAGGCTCCAGACCCGGATAGAGTGAGGCTTCAGACCCAGGTAGAGTGAGGCTCCAGACCCGGATAGAGTGAGGCTCCAGACCCGGATAGAGTGAGGCTCCAGACCCGGGACAGAGTGAGGCTCCAGACCCGGGACAGAGTGAGGCTCCAGACCCGGATAGAGTGAGGCTTCAGACCCGGGTAGAGTAAGGCTTCAGACCCAGGTAGAGTGAGGCTCCAGACCCGGATAGAGTGAGGCTCCAGACCCGGATAGAGTGAGGCTCCAGACCCGGGACAGAGTGAGGCTCCAGACCCGGGACAGAGTGAGGCTCCAGACCCGGGACAGAGTGAGGCTCCCAGACCCGGACAGAGTGAGGCGCCAGACCCGGACAGAGTGAGGCTCCAGACCCGGATAGAGTGAGGCTCCAGACCCGGGACAGAGTGAGGCTCCAGACCCGGGACAGAGTGAGGCTCCAGACCCGGGACAGAGTGAGGCTCCAGACCCGAATAGAGTGAGGCTCCAGACCCAGGTAGAGTGAGGCTTCAGACCCGGATAGAGTGAGGCTCCAGACCCGGATAGAGTGAGGCTCCAGACCCGGATAGAGTGAGGCTCCAGACCTGGATAGAGTAAGGCTTCAGACCCAGTTAGAGTGAGGCTACAGACCCGGATAGAGGGAGGCTCCAGACCCGGGACAGAGGGAGGCTCCAGACCCGGATAGAGGGAGGCTCCAGACCCAGACAGAGGGAGGCTCCAGACCCGGGACAGAGTGAGGCTCCAGACCCGAATAGAGTGAGGCTCCAGACCCGGATAGAGTGAGGCTCCAGACCCGGACAGAGTGAGGCTCCAGACCCGGATAGAGGGAGGCTCCAGACCCGGACAGAGTGAGGCTCCAGACCCGGGACAGAGTGAGGCTCCAGACCCGAATAGAGTAAGGCTCCAGACCCAGGTAGAGTGAGGCTTCAGACCCAGGTAGAGTGAGGCTCCAGACCCGGATAGAGGGAGGCTCCAGACCCGGATAGAGGGAGGCTCCAGACCCGGATAGAGTAAGGCTTCAGACCCAGGTAGAGTGAGGCTCCAGACCCGGATAGAGGGAGGCTCCAGACCCGGGACAGAGTGAGGCTCCAGACCCGGATAGAGGGAGGCTCCAGACCCGGACAGAGGGAGGCCCCAGACCCGGGACAGAGTGAGGCTCCAGACCCGAATAGAGTAAGGCTCCAGACCCGGATAGAGTGAGGCTCCAGACCCGGATAGAGTGAGGCTCCAGACCCGGACAGAGTGAGGCTCCAGACCCGGATAGAGGGAGGCTCCAGACCCGGATAGAAGGAGGCTCCAGACCCGGGACAGAGTGAGGCTCCAGACCCGGGACAGAGTGAGGCTCCAGACCCGGGACAGAGTGACGCTCCAGACCCGGGACAGAGGGAGGCTCCAGACCCGGATAGAGTGAGGCTCCAGACCCGGATAGAGTGAGGCTCCAGACCCCGGACAGAGTGAGGCTCCAGACCCGGGACAGAGTGAGGCTCCAGACCCGGGACAGAGTGAGGCTCCAGACCCGGACAGAGTGAGGCTCCAGACCTGGATAGAGTGAGGCTCCCAGACCCGGATAGAGTGAGGCTCCAGACCCAGATAGAGTGCGGCTCCAGACCCGGATAGAGTGAGGCTCCAGACCCGGGACAGAGTGAGGCTCCAGACCTGGATAGAGTGAGGCTCCCAGACCCGGATAGAGTGAGGCTCCAGACCCAGATAGAGTGCGGCTCCAGACCCGGATAGAGTGAGGCTCCAGACCCGGGACAGAGTGAGGCTGCAGATCTAGCATCACTAAGCCACTTTATCTTGAATATCCAAAGATCAACACAAGGAAACCATTGGGGGGTGTGTGAGGGAAAGTCTAATGAATCCATCCAAAATAGGATGTGAATTTTACTTCCAGACTCTAAGCATGATGTGTGTAAACTGTGTGTCTTAAGGGAATAACTTTCAATTAAATAAACTTTCAACTAAAAGCACCTGTAACACATCCAGGTTTTAATTTTGCCACTAAGGACGCATTGCATTACAGCCTGGGTCACCTGATCCATAAACCACAACTCGTCTTTGGGTCCTTTGAGGCACATGTGATCCTCAGGGTTGTGTCCATGTATCCAGCATCCCACATGCATCTGTTGTGTGCTGGGCACAATTCTAAGGTCTTAAAAAGGTGGATATGAGGAGGTGGTGTTCTGAGACTGAGGTCTCACAAGTGTCTTGCTCAGGAAATAATTGTAAAAGATACCTAGCCTCAGACAGGAAGAAACACCTGTGATATGTTATAAAGTAAAGAAACAAAGTGGCAGAATAATATATAACCTCATTTTTAAACAAAAAACACTGTGTGTGTGCATGTATGTATGTGTCTGCATGTGTCTGTTTGTGTGTCTGTGCATGTATGTATGTTTGTATGTGTGTGCATGTGTGTGTATGTGTCTGTGCATGTATGTGTCTCTGTTTGCGTGTGCATGTATGTCTGAGTGTGTTTGTACATGTGCATGTCTGTGTGTCTGCATGTATGGGTCTGTGAGTGCATGTATGTGTCTGCATTCATGTGTGTGTCTGTGCATGTGTCTGTGTGTGTGTCTGTGCATGTATGTATGTGTCTGTGTGTCTGTGCATATATGTATGTGTCTGTGTGCGTGTCTGTGTGTGTCCATGCATGTATGTGTCTGTGTCTGTGCATGTATGTGTCTGTGTGTCTGGGCGTGTGTGTATGTGTCTGTGTGTGTGTCTGTGTTTGTGTGTCTGTGCATGTATGTGTCTGTGTGTGTTGTGTGTGCATGTGCACATGAGCACATGGGAGAAGTCTAACGGGGTTAACTTCTAACTGATCGCATGTGTCAGTGTCACATGGTGGAAGGACGGGAGAACTGGAGCATCTCACTTGTCACTTTACACTTTTTATATTTTTTGAATTTATTTTATGCTGAGGATTTATTACTTATTTCCATTAGTTGTTATTTTTATTGTGATAAAATACACGTAACAGGCCAGGCATGGTGGCTCATGACTGTAATCCCAGCACTTTGGGAGGCCAAGGAGGGCAAATCACCTGAGGTCAGGAGTTCAAGACCAGCCTGGCCAACATGGTGAAACCCCATCTCTACTAAAAATACAAAAATTAACTGGGTGTGCTGATGCATGCCTGTAACCTGAGCTACTTGGGAGGCTGAGGAAGGAGAATCACTTGAACCTGGGAGGTGGAGGTTGCACTAAGTCGAGATTGTGCCACTGCACTCCAGCCTGAGTGACAGTGAGACTCTGTCTCAAAAAAAAAAAAAAAAAAAAAAATTAGCCGGGCGTGGTGGTGGGCACCTGTAGTCCCAGCTACTCATGAGGCTGAGGCAGGAGAATCACTTGAACCCGGGAGGCGGAGGTTGCAGTGAGCCGAGATGGCACCACTGTACGCCAGCCTGGCGACAGAGTGAGACTCCGTCTCAAAAACAAAAAACAAAACACATATAACATAAAATTAACCACTTTTAAGTGAACAGTTCAGTGGCACCAAGCACACACGCACTGCTGTGCGACCATCACCACCATCATCCCCAGGGCCCTGTCTTCCCAAACAGAAACTCTTTGCCATTAAACACCTGCTCCCTGCCCACCTCCCCCAGCCCCGGGCACCCACCCTTCCATTTTCTCTGTGCATCTCACGCAACTCCAGGGACCTCCTGTGAGTGGAATCATGTAGCGTTTGCCCCTTTGTCCTCTGTGTCTGGCTTAATTCACCTCAGCACGACGTCCTCAAGGTTCATCCGTGTTGCAGCCTGCGTTCGAATTTCCTTCTTTTCCCAGCCTGCTTTAAGCAAAATCCCCAGCTGTCACCATACTTGATGCTGAGACTGAATTCTTTCTCCCTCAGCTCAAATACGACTTGCTGTGCCCTCACAGGTCTCCCTCCTTAATTCAAAGTGAACTGTGAAAACAGCCAGAAATAATGATAAAAGGGTGACAGGTGGAAATAATAATCCATATGAGACTATATGGTAAATTTTACAGACATAAATTGACTCTGATTCTTTATTAGCAAAGAGAATAAAACTGACTTTTTTTTGAGACAGGGTCTCGCTCTGCTGCCCAGGCTGGAGTGCAGTGGTGCGGATCATAGTTCGCTGCAACCTTGACCTCCTGGGCTCAAGAGATCCTCCCGCTTCAGCTTCCCGAGTAGCGGGGATTACAGGTGTGAGCCACCGCACCCAGCTGAAAGAAAGTCTTTTACACAGAAACATAGCATTACCATAAGAACAAAAGGCAGAATACATACATAATGAGGACACCTAAAGACCTGCCACAAAGGCCCATGAGAAAATCCAAACAATTAACAAAGACTCATATTTCAATGACCCATTAATCACAACTATATAACATTAAACCTACCTATATATTAACATTAGAAACACATTTCAACTCATCCGTACATCCCACACACTTTAATACAAATAGCAAAAGAAATCATTAACTGGGTCAAAAAAAAAACCTAACTATTGAACTCATGTACTATTATTTAAAGAGTACCTACAGAATTCTCACCTCAATATTTTCTTGCAAAATAAGTTCTTTTTAAGTCTAAATAATATCCTATTGTATGCAGACGTGAGCCACAGTCTCAGGGGAGATTGCTGCAGACTTCCAGGTGGAAGGTGTTGATGGAGGCCATGTTGCCATCTACCCCACACTCCAAATCATGTGAATTAATGTGCAGTCCCTCCAATGGTAGATGAGAACATTTACTTCACCACAGGCTTACCAACATTGGATACTAATTTTTTAAATGTTTGCTAATCTGATAGGTTTAAAAAATCATATTAATCATTTCTTTCACTTTGATTTCCCAGCCTAATATTGAGGTATAACTTATTTCCATATGTATATTGGCTATTTGAATTTCTTCTGTGAATTACCTCTTCCGATACTTTCCCTGTTTCTCTACCGGTTTCTTTCAAAAAATATTATTGCCTAGACCACTGTTACATACATCAAGGTGAAACGGAAGATTAAACAGTTTTGCAGGTAATTCAAGAAAAGAAAACCTTCATTTTGTACTTAATTATCCAGATGTTCCAAGTGCAAATTTTGATTTGAACTATCCATGTAATTACCTTAATTCCTTAGTTTGCCATTTCAGCCAAGAAAACTTAGATTATTTTCATTGTACTTTCACTGAATAATTTTAAAATAAAACTCTGTTCAACTTTGTTCTTACCACAACCAAAAATCTAGCACTGGAAATTAGTTCCACCTCATCTGTTTTCAGCAGCAGTCTCTGGCGAAGCCTTTCTTACTGCTTTTACCTAAAAACCTCTTCCAAAGCTTTGTTGTTAGGGTGTGCTCTTCTTGGCCATTTTAACTGAACTGGTCAAGTTGGAGAAGAAATAAATGAGACGACCCTACTGTGTGCTAAACACCCCCCACCAGGCCACGCGTCCATCTTCAGGCGGCCATGGCGTGGTCTGGGGAGGCTTAGGGGGTCGGTCGTGGGGAGGAGCTTCCAGTGAAGAGTAAACAGCAAAAGATGAGATATTCCAACAGGAAGGGAAATGAAAATAGAAGATTCAGTCGTTATTTACGGCGGCTACAATTTTCTCCATAAAATGAAAATGAAATCAAATGAAAAGAATTAAAATAGATTTTTAGCCAAGTGGCAGCATAAACAGAAGGATGAACCTTGAAGGCACGACAGCTCACCTGTAACCGGCAGTGCGTCTGCCTAGAAAATGAGGAAAGAGAGCGAGAACACACCACCCTTGACAGGATCTAAAAATATAAAACAGCTTTGAAATTGTAATTCAGGAGACGAATAGCAGGCCGGGCGCAGTGCCTCATGCCTGTAATCCCAGCACTCTGGGAGGCCAAAGTGGCTGGATCACGTGAGGTCAGGGGTTCGAGACCAGCCTGGCCAACATGGTCAAACCCCATCTCTACTAAAACTACAAAAATTAGCTGGGCATGGTGGTGGGTCCCTGTAATCCCAGCTACTCAGGAGGCTGAGGTAGAAGAATTGCTTGAACCCGGGAAGTGGAGGTTGCAGTGAGCCAAGATCACACCACTGCACTCCAGCCTGGCCGACAGAGTAAGACTTTGTGTCAAAAATCTATCAGTCAATCAATCACTGAACTGGCAGTGAGTTTACCGTGTTTTCCTTCTCAAAAAAAAGAAAGAAAGAAAGAGAAAGAAAGACGTTTTCATGTCAAAGAAAACAATTTCTCACCAGTAAACTCTCACAACATGAAATGCTAAAAGAATTTCTTTCAGAATGAAAGGAGTTGAGATGAGATGAAAATGTGGATCCTTAGAAGTGAATGAAGAGCAGAAGAAATGGTAAATATCTGGGCAAATACAAAAGATGTTTTTTTCTTTATTGCCTTTAATTCTTTTATACTGCATGTGACTGTTTAAAGCAAATACTACAACATTACCTTGTGGAGTTCATAATAGGTGTAAATAAAATACGTCTAACAACGATACCATAAAGAATGTGGGCGGGAGAAATACTGACCTATGTGACTGTGGAGTTTCCACATTTCATGTGACGTATTAAAACGGCAGCTGTGATTGGATGTGAGAGTGAAGGGTGTCGAATCCCGGTTCCTGTTCTAAAGGAACTCTCCTTCCTGTCTTTCCCACTAAATGCAGCAGCTATTAAACAACCTGAATATGACGTATGGAGCAGCGAATGGAAGTCTCTGAACAGTAAATAGTAACAGGCACATTGGGAAGAAGAACAGAATTTTAAATATCATGAACGGGCAGTGAGTTTACCATGTTTTCCTTCAGCGTCATCCAGCCTAGACTCAATACAGCCTAAAATCTAGACTACAGGGTATGGATACAGACAGCCACAGATGCCCTCAAGTTTTGGGTTGAGTCATTAGAAAGGGGTCTCCTAACACTCAGAAATTTCCCATTACAAATATGTATATATGTATATATTCGCTCACGTCCTAATCCCTAAGTAATTCTGTGGTGGCAGCAGTGGCAACAACAGCCAGAAGGACCCACCCACAGGAGCTTAAACTGGTGGGCAGCCAGACCTTCCTCTCCACGTGGAGGAGCCATGGCACTGGGCTGGGTGGTGGCACTGGGCTGGGTGGGGGCACTGGGCTGGGTGGTGGCACTGGGCTGGGTAGGGACACTGGGCTGGGTGGAGACACTGGGCTGGGTGGAGACACTGGGCTGGGTGGGGGCCCTGGGCTGGGTGGGGACAGTGGGCTGGGTGGGGGCCCTGGGCTGGGTAGGGACACTGGGCTGGGTGGGGGCACTGGGCTGGGTGGGGGCACTGGGTTGGGTGGAGGCACTGGGCTGGGTGGAGACACTGGGCTGGGTGGGGGCACTGGGCTGGGTGGAGGCACTGGGCTGGGTGGGGACACTGGGCTGGGTGGGGACACTGGGCTGGGTGGGGGCACTGGGCTGGGTGGGGGCACTGGGCTGGGTGGGGACACTGGGCTGGGTGGGGGCACTGGGCTGGGTGGGGACACTGGGCTGGGTGGAGGCACTGGGCTGGGTGGAGACACACCTCAGTTTCCTTTCTTCTCTTCTCTGGTTGGCTGGCCCTGGATGCAGGAGCAGTGGCATGAGGTGGACAGCAGGACAAGGTGAAGAAAGTTCCAGTTTTCTGACTGGAGGATTGAAATGGGGAGCTCCAGCACATTTGAAAAGTGCCAGGACATCATGGAGGAAAAGGAGCTCAGAACACCAGGACATTGTGGAGGAAAAGGAGCTCAGAACACCAGGACATCGTGGAGGAAAAGGAGCTCAGAACACCAAATCCATGAAGCTGTTTATGAACGTCTGGGCTCACCTCTGAACTATGCATGCATAGATCTGACTTGAAACATATGTACAATTTTCATAAGACTTAAACAAGACCTCAAATACTGTACCATAATATTCAAATTGTCCAACATACAATCCAAAATTACTTAATATAAGGCCAGGCACAGTAGCTCTTGCCTGTAATCCTAGCACTTTGGGAGGCCAATGTGGGTGGATCACCTGAGGTCAGGAGTTCAAGACCAGCCTGGCCAACATGTTGAAACCCTGTCTCTACTAAAAGCACAAAAATTAGCTGGGTGTGGTGGTGCATGCCTATAATCCCAGCTACTAGGGAGTGTCCCAGGTTTTTTTGTTTTGTTTGTTTTTTTGAGATGGAGTCTCACTCTATCACCCAGGCTGGAGTGCAGTGGTGCGATCTTGGTTCACTGCAAGCTCTGCCTCCCAGGTTCACACCATCCTCCTGCCTTAGCCTCCCAACTGGCTGGGACTACAGGCACATGCTGCCACACCTGGCTAATTTTTTGTATTTTTAGTAGAGATGGGGTTTCACTGTGTTAGCCAGGATGGTCTCGATCTCCTGACCTCGTGATCTGCCCGCCTCGGCCTCCCAAAGTGCTGGGATTACAGGCATGAGCCACCGCGCCCAGCCCCAGGTTTTTACTTGAACCCGGGAGGTGGAGGTTGCAGTGAGCCAAGATCGCGCCACTGCACTCCAGCCTGAGCGACAAGAGCAAAACTCTGTCTCAAAAAAATAAATAAATAATTAAATTAAATTAGAAAGCACACATGGAGCTTGAAAAAGGGAAAGATATTCCCACCCAAGGTGATGAGCCCAACACAGGCTGCGTGGGCTCGTTACCTCATGGTAAGGAAGTATTCCAGGCCCAATGCTCATCTTTATGCAGCCTAAAGGGGGTCAAAGGACTTCATGCATGTGACTGCCTTTCCAAACACCAAATGGAAAAAATTTTAACAAAATACTATCATGGAAAAATTAAAACTCAACAGATAGTCTCAGCAGAAGAATGGAAATGACAGAGGAAAAAGACGGCAAACTTGAAGAAGGACCAACAGAAATTATCCAACCTAAACAGAGACAGAAAAAGACTGAAAAAATGACAGCTTCAGGGACTCATAGGACAACATCAAAATGTCTAATATTCATGCTACCAGAGTCCCAGAAGAAGCGAAGAAAGCGTATGATGCAAAAAGAAGCATTTGGGAGCGACGC
Source organism: Homo sapiens (assembly GCF_000001405.40). Taxonomy (NCBI): domain Eukaryota; kingdom Metazoa; phylum Chordata; class Mammalia; order Primates; family Hominidae; genus Homo; species Homo sapiens. Next base: position 746,021 of record NC_000010.11, read on the forward strand.
AGAAGACGGGTGATTTCTGCATTTCCATCTGAGGTACCGGGTTCATCTCACTAGGGAGTGCCAGACAGTGGGTGCAGGTCAGTGGGTGCACGCACCGTGCGCGAGCCGAAGCAGGGCGAGGCATTGCCTCACTTGGGAAGCGCAAGGGCTCAGGGAGTTCCCTTTCCTAATCAAAGAAAGGGGTGACGGACGGCACCTGGAGAATCGGGTCACTCCCACTCGAATACTGCGCTTTTCCGAGGGGCTTAAAAAACGGCACACCACGAGATTATATCCTGAACCTGGCTCGGAGGGTCCTACCCCACGGAGTCTCTGATTGCTAGCACAGCAGTCTGAGATCAAACTGCAAGGCGGCAGCGAGGCTGGGGGAGGGGCGCCCACCACTGCCCAGGCTTGCTTAGGTAAACAAAGCAGCTGGGAAGCTCGAACTGGATGGAGCCCACCACAGCTCTATTACTTAGACTCCCACACAGTAATAGTGGGAGGCTTTAACACCCCAACGTCAGTATTAGACAGATTGAGACAGAAAATTAACAAGGGTATTCAGGACTTGAACTCAGCTCTGCGCCAAGCGGACCTAATAGACATCTACAGAACTCTCCACCCCACATCAACAGAATATACATTTTTTTTCAGCACCACACCACACCTATTCCAAAATTGACCACATACTTGGAAGTAAAGCTCTCCTCAGCAAATGTAAAAGAACAGAAATTATAACAAACTATCTCTCAGACCACAGTGCAATCAAACTAGAACTCAGGATTAAGAATCTCACTCAAAACCGCTCAACTACATGGAAACTGAACAACCTGCTCCTGAATGACTACTGGGTACATAACGAAATGAAGGCAGAAATAAAGATGTTCTTTGAAACCAATGAGAATAAAGACACAACATACCAGAATCTCTGGGACACATTCAAAGCAGTGTCTAGAGGGAAATTTATAGCACTAAATGCCCACAAGAGAAAGCAGGAAAGATCCAAAATTGACACCCTAACATCACAATTAAAAGAACTAGAAAAGCAAGAGCAAACACATTCAAAAGCTAGCAGAAGGCAAGAAATAACTAAAATCAGAGCAGAACTGAAGGAAAGAGAGACACAAAAAACCCTTCAAAAAATTAATGAATCCAGGAGCTGGTTTTTTGAAAGGAGCAACAAAATTGATAGACCGCTAGCAAGACTAATAAAGAAAAAAAGAGAGAAGAATCAAATAGATGCAATAAAAAATGATAAAGGGGATATCACCACCGATCCCACAGAAATACAAACTACCATCAGGGAATACTACAAACACCTCTACGCAAATAAACTAGAAAATCTAGAAGAAATGGATAAATTCCTCGACACATACACCCTCCCAAGACTAAACCAGGAAGAAGTTGAATCTCTGAATAGACCAATAACAGGATCTGAAATTGTGGCAATAATCAATAGCTTACCAACCAAAAAGAGTCCAGGACCAGATGGATTCACAGCCGAATTCTACCAGAGGTACAAGGAGGAACTGGTACCATTCCTTCTGAAACTATTCCAATCAATAGAAAAAGAGGGAATCCTCCCTAACTCATTTTATGAGGCCAGCATCATTCTGATACCAAAGCCGGGCAGAGACACAACCAAAAAAGAGAATTTTAGACCAATATCCTTGATGAACATTGATGCAAAAATCCTCAATAAAATACTGACAAACTGAATCCAGCAGCACATCAAAAAGCTTATCCACCATGATCAAGTGGGCTTCATCCCTGGGATGCAAGGCTGGTTCAATATACGCAAATCAATAAATGTAATCCAGCATATAAACAGAGCCAAAGACAAACACCACATGATTATCTCAATAGATGCAGAAAAGGCCTTTGACAAAATTCAACAACCCTTCATGCTAAAAACTCTCAATAAATTAGGTATTGATGGGACATATTTCAAAATAATAAGAGCTATCTATGACAAACCCACAGCTAATATCATACTGAATGGGCAAAAACTGGAAGCATTCCCTTTGAAAACTGGCACAAGACAAGGATGCCCTCTCTCACCACTCCTATTCAACAGAGTATTGGAAGTTCTGGCCAGGGCAATTAGACAGGAGAAGGAAATAAAGGGTATTCAATTAGGAAAAGAGGAAGTCAAATTGTCCCTGTTTGCAGATGACATGATTGTATATCTAGAAAACCCCATTGTCTCAGCCCAAAATCTCCTTAAGCTGATAAGCAACTTCAGCAAAGTCTCAGGATACAAAATCAATGTGCAAAAATCACAAGCATTCCTATACACCAACAACAGACAAACAGAGAGCCAAATCATGAGTGAACTCCCATTCACAATTACTTCAAACAGAATAAAATACCTAGGAATCCAACTTACAAGGGACGTGAAGGACCTCTTCAAGGAGAACTACAAACCACTGCTCAAGGAAATAAAAGAGGATACAAACAAATGGAAGAACATTCCATGCTCATGGGTAGGAAGAATCAATATCGTGAAAATGGCCATACTGCCCAAGGTAATTTACAGATTCAATGCCATCCCCATCAAGCTACCAATGCCTTTCTTCACAGAATTGGAAAAAACTACTTTAAAGTTCACATGGAACCAAAAAAGAGCCTGCATCACCAAGCCAATCCTAAGCCAAAAGAACAAAGCTGGAGGCATCACACTACCTGACTTCAAACTATACTACAAGGCTACAGTAACCAAAACAGCATGGTACTGGTACCAAAACAGAGATATAGATCAATGGAACAGAACAGAGCCATCAGAAATAACGCCGCATATCTACAACTATCTGATCTTTGACAAACCTGAGAAAAACAAGCAATGGGGAAAGGATTCCCTTTTAATAAATGGTGCTGGGAAAACTGGCTAGCCATATGTAGAAAGCTGAAACTGGATCCCTTCCTTACACCTTATACAAAAATCAATTCAAGATGGATTAAAGACTTAAACGTTAGACCTAAAACCATAAAAACCCTAGAAAAAAACCTAGGCATTACCATTCAGGACATAGGCATGGGCAAGGACTTCATGTCTAAAACACCAAAAGCAATGGCAACAAAAGCCAAAATTGACAAATGGGATCTAATTAAACTCAAGAGCTTCTGCACAGCAGAAGAAACTACCATCAGAGTGAACAGGCAACCTACAAAATAGGAGAAAATTTTCACAACCTACTCATCTGACAAAGGGCTAATATCCAGAATCTACAATGAACTCAAACCAATTTACAAGAAAAAAACAAACAACCCCATCAAAAAGTGGGCGAAGGACATGAACAGACACTTCTCAAAAGAAGACATTTATGCAGCCAAAAAACACATGAAAAAATGCTCACCATCACTGGCCATCAGAGAAATGCAAATCAAAACCACAATGAGATACCATCTCACACCAGTTAGAATGGCAATCATTAAAAAGTCAGGAAACAACAGGTGCTGGAGAGGATGTGGAGAAGTAGGAACACTTTTACACTGTTGGTGGGACTGTAAACTAGTTCAACCATTGTGGAAGTCAGTGTGGTGATTCCTCAGGGATCTAGAACTAGAAATACCATTTGACCCAGCCATCCCATTAGTGGGTATATACCCAAAGGACTATAAATCATGCTGCTATAAAGACACATGCACACGTATGTTTACTGCAGCACTATTCACAATAGCAAAGACTTGGAACCAACCCAAATGTCCATGAGTGATAGACTGGATTAAGAAAATGTGGCACATATACACCATGGAATACTATGCAGCCATAAAAAATGATGAGTACATGTCCTTTGTAGGGACATGGATGAAATTGGAAATCATCATTCTCAGTAAACTATCGCAAGAACAAAAAACCAAACACCACATATTCTCACTCATAGGTGGGAATTGAACAATGAGATCACATGGACACAGGAAAGGGAACATCACACTCTGGGGACTGTTGTGGGGTGGGGGGAGGGGGAAGGGATAGCATTGGGAGATATACCTAATGCTAGATGATGAGTTAGTGGGTGCAGCACACCAGCATGGCACATGTATACATATGTAACTAACCTGCACAATGTGCACATGTACCCTAAAACTTAAAGTATAATAATAAAAAATAAATAAATAAATAAAAGAAAAAAGAAAAAAGAAAAAAAAAAGAAGCATTTGAAGAAATGATGGCTGAAAAATTCCATTTGACAAAAATCTAAATCTCAGTGTCTTCTGAGGTTTAGAAAGTGCAGTGAACTCAAAATATGATAAGCCTAAAGAAATGTACACTCAGACACATCATAACTAAACAGCTGAAAACAAAGACAAAAAATTTGAAAGCAACCAGGGTAAAATGACGTATTACTTATAGGGTAACAAGCTTTCAAATGACAGTCCATTTATCCTCAGAAACCATGGAAGCCAGAAGGAAATGGAACATTTTTAATGTGCTGAAGAAAAGGGTTGTCATCCTAGAATTCTATATCCAGTGAAAAATATCTGTCAAAAATGAAGATGAAATAAAGACATTCTCAGATGAAGCAAAACTGAGAGAATTCATTGCCCACAAACCTGTTCCTGAAGAAGTGATAATGGGAGTTCCTGAAGCAGAAGGAAATAACATTAGAAAGAATCTGGACCATCACCAGCCGGGCGTGGTGGCTCACGCCTGTAATCCCAGCACTTTAGGAGGCCGAGAGGGCGGATCATGAGGTCAGGAGATTGAGACCATCCTGGCTAACATGGTGAAACCCTACCTCTACTAATAATACAAAAAATTAGCCGGGTGTAGTGGCGGGCGCCTGTAGCCCCCACTGTTTGGGAGGCTGAGGCAGGAGAATGGTGTGAACCCAGGAGGCGGAGCTTGCAGTGAGTTGAGATCGCGCCACTGCACTCCAGCCTGGGAGACAGGGCGAAACTCCGTCTCAAAAAGATAATAATAATAAGAAAGCATTTGGACCTTCTGGGTAAATATAATACAGTTGTCCCATTTACCTGCAGGGGATACATTCCAAGACCCCCAGTGGATGTCGGGAACCATGGATGACACTGAACCTGATTGCCGACCGTGGGAACACAATTTTGTTCGTGTCTTCTATCTACAAATGTAATGCCTTTTCCATCTTAGCTAAGCACTTACTGGCTCACTGCAGTAACCCGCCTCCTGGGTTCAAGTGATTCTCCTGCCTCAGCCTCCTGAGTTGCTGGGACTACAGGTGTGTGCCACCATGCCAGGCTAATTTTTGTATTTTTTAGTAGAGATGGGGTTTCGCCATGTTGAACTGGTCAGGTTGGTCTTGAACTCCTGACCTCAAATGATCTGCCTGCCTTGGCCTCCCAAAGTGCTGGGACTACAGGCCTGAACCACCGCGCCCAGCCTCGCTGTAACTTTTGCAGTTTGAAGTGCAACAGCAAAACTAATACGAATTTCTTTTTTCATCTTCATAATTTAATGAGTAGAAGATTTGTTCTTACCATAAGATCTTAGGAATCTCAGCATATAACTTTTTTCTTGCCTTGTTAAGTAAAAAATGTTTACTTTTTCACCGAAAGGAAGCATTTTACTGCTTCTCTTTGGTATGTCCATCTGAATTGCCACCATCACTGCTCTTGTGCTTTGGGGCTGTGATTAAGTAAAATGAGGGTCACTGGAACACAAGCCCTGGGATACTGCAACGGTTGATCTGATAACCAAGATGGCAGCTGAGGGACTAACAGGTGGGTAGCATATACAGCACGGATACGCTGGACAAAAGGACGATTCACATCCCAGGTAGGATGAAGAACAATGGTGTGCATGCCTCAGAAAGGCATGCGATTTAAAGCTTACGAATTCTTTATTTCTAAAATTTTCCATTTAATATTTTGGACCATGGTTGACCTCAGATAACTAAAACCACAGAAAGCAAAAACCTGGATGAGGAAAAACCTGGATGAGAAGGCTACTGTAAACGAGTCTTCTCTTGTGTTCTCTAAGATGTCTGGCCTGGATAAGAGGGGTTACTGTAAACTAGTCTTCTCTTGCCTTCTCTAAGACGTCTGGCCTGGATGAGAGGGCTACTGTAAACTAGTCTTCTCCTGTGCTCTCTAAAATGTCTGGCCTGGATGAGAGGGTTACTGTAAAGTAGTCTTCTCCTGTGTTCTCTAAGATGTCTGGCCTGGATGAGGGGTTACTGTAAACTAGTCTTCTCCTGTGTTCTCTAAAATGTCTGGCCTGGATAAGAGGGCTACCGTAAACTAGTCTTCTCCTATGTTCTCTAATATGTTTGGCCTGGATGAGAGGGTTACTGTAAACTAGTCTTCTCTTGCATTCTCTAAGATGTTTGGCCTGGATGAGAGGGCTACTGTAAACTAGTCTTCTCCTATGTTCTCTAACATGTTTGGCCTGGATGAGAGGGTTACTGTAAACTAGTCTTCTCTTGCGTTCTCTAAGATGTTTGGCCTGGATGAGAGGGTTACTGTAAACTAGTCTTCTCCTGTGTTCTCTAAAATGTCTGGCCTGGATGAGAGGGTTACTGTAAACTAGTCTTCTCTTGCGTTCTCTAAGACGTTTGGCCTGGATGAGAGGGTTACTGTAAACTAGTCTTCTCTTGTGTTCTCTAAGATGTTTGACCTGGATGAGAGGGGCTACTGTAAACTAGTCTTCTCTTGCATTCTCTAAAATGTTTGGCAGTTGAAAGCAAAAATTACAGCATTGTCTGATTTGTTTTTTCAAGGTATGTAGATGTAACATACAAGATAAATATAACATAAAGGAGAAGGAGTGAAGTGCCGTATGTAGTAATGAACTTTCTGCATTCCATTTAAAGTGTTAAAATGGTGATTTTAACTTGACTGTGAAAAGCTAAATGTGCACATTCTAGTTCCCAGAGCAGTCCTTAAAAAACTGTACAAGGAGGTGGAGTTTAAGAATCACAATAAATTAAAATGGAATATTTAAAGTGTTCAAATAATAAGAAAGATGAAAAGGGGAAACAGGTGAATAGAGAATAGGGAACAGCAGAAAACGACGAATGAAATCATGGTCTTAAATCCAAATGTACCAATAATTACACTAAATGTAAATCATCTAAGTACACCAATGAAAAGAGGGATTGTCAGAATACCTAAAAATGACCTAATCATATTCTACCTACAATAAATTGACTTTGAATGTAGTGATATAGGCAGTTAAAAGGTAAAAGGATAGAAAAAGATACACCATGCAAATTCTAACCAAAAGAAAGCCTGGAAGTGTCATCAGCAAGGTGGTGGATAGGCAGCTCCAGGCACTTGCTGCCCCAAGGGAGCCCTGGAAAGCCAGGAAAAAGTGTAAGAACCAACGCTAGGAACTCGGACTCAGGCTGCACTCCTTTATCACCAGCTTTCCTGGTTCTCTGACTTGCAAATGGTGGACTTCTCAGCCTCCATGTTCACAGGAGCCAATTCCCATAATAAATCTCTCTCTATAGATGTAGATTTAGATATGGATAGCTATCCTCCTGGTTATGTTTCCCAGGATAACCCTAATACACATAAAAAGGATGGAAATTCTGACACACACTACAACATGGATGAAACTTGAAGACATTGTGCTAACCGAAATAAACCAGACAAAAAAGACAAAAAGACAAATACTGTATGATTCCACTTAGAAGAGGCACCTAAAGTAGTCGAAGTAATAGGTTCAGAAAGCAGAATGGCGTAACTAGGAGCTGGGGACAGAGAGGAATGGGAAGTTACTGTTTGATAGGTACAGAGTTTCAGTTTTACAAGATGACAAGAGCTGTGGAGATGAATATTGGTGGTGGTTGCAAAACAACGGATGTATTTAAAGCCACAAAACTGTGGTTAACATGGTAAATTTTATGTTATATGTATTTCGCCACAGTTTTTTTAATTAAAAATAAATATTTATAGTCTCAGCATCTTCAAATATCCCGCAAATATTTCCAAGTTTCATCCTCGATTTCTTATCCTACCTGAGTCAAACATCTTCACCTTCCCAAGATTTTTTATATCAAGTGCTAATAAGAGGCCCCTAATCTCTGGCATGCACTTGATTTTTTTGGAGCCAGGCTGAATAATAGTATATAAGACTCATTGAATCAAGGAATATGGGGTTTGCAATTTTCTGTTCCCAGGCTATCTGTGCAAAACTCAGCAAAATTAGTAATGAATGAAGTAATGTTAAAAAGCAATCTCTTTAAAAGTCCGAAGCAAGACAAAGATGCCTAGTAGGCAGGCTCCTATTCAGCATTGTTGAGACCCTTATCATTGCACTGAAACAAGAAAAAGCCATACAAAGTGTAATTCTGTGAAGGAAAAGACAAAACTGTCATGTATAGCTGTTATGGTAGTTTCATAAAGATTCTCCAAAATACATAGACAAACGGTCAAAATTATTTAAAATTGTCATATTTGCTAGGTATAAAACAAATATGCAAAATTCAATTGCATGTCTATATACTAACAATAAATAGAAAATGTAATTTGTTTAAAATGTCATTTATAAAGGAAACAATAAAATGAAGAGACAACCTACAAATGAGGATAGAATATTTACAAACCATATATCTGATAAGGGCTTAATACTCAAAAATATAACGAACTCAAACAACTCAATACCAAAAAAACAAATAACCTGATTTTAAAATAGGCCAACGACATTAACAGACATTTCTCAAAAGAAGACACACAAGGCCAGGCACAGTGGCTCATGCCTGTAATCCCAGCACTTTGGGAGGCCAAGGTGGGTGTATTACTTGAGCTCAGGAGTTCAAGACCAGCCTGGCCAACATCACGAAACCCTGTCTCTACTAAAAATACAAAAATTAGCCAAGTGTTGTGGTGCATCTGTAATCCCAGCTATTTGGGAGGCTGAGGCAGGAGAATCACTTGAACCCAGGAGGTGGAGGTTGTAGTGAGCTGAGATTGCACCACTGCACTCCAACATGGGTGACAGAGCAAGACTCTGTCTCGAAAAAAAAAAAAAGACATACAAATGGCCAATGGAATATTTTTAAATGCTCAACATTTCTAGTCATCAGGGAAATAAATTAAAACCACAATAAGGTATCACCTCACACTTATTTGAATGGCTATTATTTTAAAAAGATGAATGATAACAAGTGTTGGTGAGGATGTGTAGCAAGGGAAACCTTGTACACTGTTGGTGGGACTGTAAATTAGTACAGCCTCTATGGAGAAGAGAATGGAGGTTCCTCAAAAAACTGAAAATAGAACTACCATGCAATCCAGCAATCCCACCTTTAGGTATACAGTCGACCCTCGACGTATGATGGCATCACTGGGACAGAGCCCCAATAATACTGAATGTGCATCACTTCTGCACCATCGTCATGTTGAAAGATTGTAAGTCAAACCATTACAAGTCAGGAGCCATCTGTAGAGCCACAGGAATTAAAATCAGCACGTCAAAGAGACGTCTGCACTCCCAGGTTCATCCGCAGCACCATTCACAGTAGCTGAAATGCGGAAGCAACCTCAGCACCCATCGACGGATGAAGGATAAAGAGAACGTTGTGCATATGCAAAATGGAATACTATTCAGCCTTAAAAAAGAAGGAAATTCTGTTGTTCTCAAAAACACAGATGAATCTGGAAGACATTATGCTACTTTGAATAGGTCAGGCACAGAAACACAAATACTGCATGATCTCACTTACGTGTGGAATCTTCAAAAGTCAATCCCACAGAGAAACAGAGAGTGGAATGGTGGTTACCAGAGGCTGAGGGGTGAAGTAGGGAAGGAGAAGGATGGGGAAAAGGGAAATGCTGATCAAAGGGTACAACATTTCAGTGAGGCAGGAGGAATGAGTTTTAGTGATCCACTGCACTGCACGGTGACCACAGTTAATAATAATGTATGCTTCGAAATTGCTAAAAGAATAGGCTTTAAGCATTCTCACAGTAAAAAAGAATGATGAGTTGGTGAGGTGGTGGATATGTTAATTAGCTTGATTGAGTCTTTCTACAATGTATACATAGATCAAACCATCACACTATACCCCATAAATGTACACAATTATTATCTGTCAATTAAAAATAGATAAATAAATAAGTCTGGGAATGGTGGCTCACACCTATAATTGCAGCATTTTGGCAGTTCCAAGTGCGAGGACTATTTGAGGTCAGGAGTTCGAAATCAGCCTGGGCAACATAGTGAGACGCTGTCTCAATAATAATAATAAGCTGGGTGTGGTGGTGCACACCTGTAGTTCTAGCTACTTGGGAGGCTGAGGTGGGAGGATCACTGGAGCCCATGAGCTTGAGAGTTCAAGGCTGCAGTGAGCTATTATCATGCCACTGCACTCCAGTCTGGATGACGGAGCAACAATCTGTCTTCAAAACTAAATACACGAGCAAATTGAAAATACATTAAAAACGTGAAGACGAAAGTTTTAGAGAAAAACAGATACACCTCAAAAATATCTTGCTTTTGTGTTTTTTACCTAATTTGAAAGTAAAGGCATTGCAAATGTGCACTGTGGTAACTGCCAGGGCACAAGCAACTGTCACTTCTGGCAATCGACTTCCTATACCGTAACATCAAACAAAATTTTGATACTAAAATTTTAATAACAAAATTGAAATATTTTGCATAAAATAAAAATTCTAATAAAATTTAATATTTATTCTTGTGTTTCAGACATTTATTTAGTTTTCTGATATTCAGCCTCGGTCACAGCTTTGGCCAAACATCTCTTTAGCCCCCTGGCCATTTGGTATTTAGCAAAAAATGAAAAAGACTGTGGAGATGTACCTCTGGCAACTCTGTATATATCTAACAAATTATTTGCAAGACCAGTACAGAGAAAATTTTGAAACTTTCTGAAGACCACTAAAGGATACTCTAAAATAGATAAATACGTTCATGGCTAGGAAGATTGAAGATCGCAAACATGCTGCTTTCTCCCAAATTGATATATGGGTTGAGAGTGATTTCAATCAAAATCACAAAAGGGATTTTGTGGAATTGGATGAATTCTAAAATTCCCGTTGAAAGGCAAAGAACCAAAAGTAGCTAAGACACTCCTGAAGGGGTGTGTGGTGGGGACCTGCCCAATATCTAGAGTGCGGCGGGGACGTGCCCAATTCTAGAGTGCGGCGGGGACCTGCCCAATATCTGGAGTGTGGCGGGGACCTGCCCAATATCTGGAGTGTGGCGGGGACCTGCCCAATATCTGGAGTGTGGCGGGGACCTGCCCAATATCTGGAGTGTGGCGGGGACCTGCCCAATATCTGGAGTGTGGCGGGGACCTGCCCAATATCTGGAGTGTGGCGGGGACCTGCCCAATATCTGGAGTGTGGCGGGGACCTGCCCAATATCTGGAGTGTGGCGGGGACCTGCCCAATATCTGGAGTGTGGCGGGGACCTGCCCAATATCTGGAGTGTGGCGGGGACCTGCCCAATATCTGGAGTGTGGCGGGGACCTGCCCAATATCTGGAGTGTGGCGGGGACCTGCCCAATATCTGGAGTGTGGCGGGGACCTGCCCAATATCTGGAGTGTGGCGGGGACCTGCCCAATATCTGGAGTGTGGCGGGGACCTGCCCAATATCTGGAGTGTGGTGGGGACCTGCCCAATATCTGGAGTGTGGTGGGGACCTGCCCAATATCTGGAGTGTGGTGGGGACCTGCCCAATATCTAGATTTGTCAAGTTATAAGGACCAACTAGTGTGGTGTTGGCTCAGGATAGACCAAGGGGACAGAAAGAGCCCAGGAATAGACCCAAACATATTTGTAAATTTAAATGTTTGTGATTTATACATATAAATATCTGATGAATAGGACACAAAATGTGAAATCATCTGAGTAATAAAAAATACAGAAATGTAATTGGCATATTAAAGAATACAGCCGCCGGCTGGGTGCGGTGGCTCACGCCTGTAGTCCCAGCACTTTGGGAGGCCGAGGCGGGCGGATCATGAGGTCAGGAGATCAAGACCATCCTGGCCAACATGGTGAAACCCTGTCTGTACTAAAAATACAAAAAATTAGCTGGGCGTGGTGGTGGGTGCCTATAGTCCCAGATACTCAGGAGGCTGAGGCAGGAGAATGGTGTGAACCCGGCAGGTGGAGCTTGCAGTGAGCCCAGATCGCTCCACTGCACTCCAGCCTGGGCAACAGAGCGAGACACCGTCTCAAAAGAAAAAAAAAAAAAAAAAAAAAAAAAAAAAAAAAAAAAAAAAAAAAAAGGATACAGCCTCCTAAAAGAGAAGACTTCTCAATATTAGCCATTTACCTTATTTCACCTCTCACATAATGGGGATTTGTTTCCCCCTCCGTGACTACCATCCCACAAGTAAAATTCTCCCTTTCATACCTCTGAGAGTCCTAGTAACTGCCTGTTACCAAAACATTGCACCACGCAGGATGGGTGATCTCCTGCTTTGCATTTTGAGTGAACACATTGTTAGCAGCATTCTGAATTTGTGTTGCCGACCTTTGCCGCGGGATATTGGCAGGTTTTACAGCTCAAGCCAGGCAAAACAGTCCTTTCTAAAACAAGAGAAAAACTGACCAGCGTATCAGTCAAAGCTTTCAATAGCTGAAAAGTTAATTAAAAGGTGACATTTGTGAGAGTCTAGAGTTAATTGTTTTGGTCTGTGACTCTTTTTTTTTTTTTAAACTCTTCCCACTCTGGCATCCACTTGATGCATCTTTGGCTAATCGCAGCCAGTCAGGTGTCCACCTGCACGTTGCTGTTGCCCTCCAGACAGCCACGCATTCCTCTGTCTTCTCCCAGTGAGATCCTGAACTCCTCAAGCACGCAGACCATGGCCTCTATCTCCTTTGTGTACACTGCAATGTCTGGCATGGTTGAGGAGTGGAATTGACTCTACAGAGAAGTTTTGCAAAATAATTAGGGTAAGAAAGACAGAAGTGGGGAGGATGGTAGATGAAGGGGTTCATGAGTAAAGAGCTGAGAGAGATGGTCTCAGACTTTAGTGATGTGGAAACTGAAAAAAGGAAAATCAGATTGTAAAATAGTATGTACAATATCATCTTATTTTTATTAAAAAAAAAAGGTACTGGGGAGAGGGGCTCCAAGAGGGCTAACTAGAGGCATTAGTTATTTGCCTCCTTCACTAAGAAGAAGCAAAATAGTAACTCATCACATTCTGAGTAGATTGTCCAAGAGGGAACACTGGAATTCATCAGAAAAGTGGCAGGACACTCCTAAAGCAAGGAAGAGAGGGGAGCAAGGCTGCTGCTGCCCCAGGACTGTGGGGGCTGGGACAGACCCCCTAGTGCAGGGAAAGGTGAAGGAGGGACCTTCAGCAGCCTACATTCCCACCGTGGACTCCTGCAGTCTCCGCCAGGAGAGCCCCCTTGACCACCCAGGTCCTGACCTGACAGGGCGCTGCCAGGAGATTGTGCGATGGCACTGCCCGAGGGAGGGAGTCTCAGGGGTCCCACACACTCCCTGAGACCTAAGCAGCTACAGCAAGGTGCTGCGCTGGAGTCCCACCCCCAGTGGACTGAAGCAGTGTCCTGGGGCTCAGTGGCGCCAGGCTGAGGCATGAGCGAGGCGCGGGCTGCCACAGCTTGGACTGAGGTGCAGGTGCTGCCAGGACTGAGGTGTACATGGCACGTGCATTCTCCACCCACCTGCCTAAGCTTCCACCAGTGAAGGGGGTCCTACTCTCCCCAGTGGAAGGCAACAGCATGGTCGCCACTGCCCCCAAACCAAGCATTCCGTGGGGGGTGCTGGGGATGACCCTGCCCCAGACTACCGTAGCTGCCGCCTGCACACATCACTGGGGGGCCTGAGCACAAGCCTGCCTGGCCGTCTGTGCCCTCACCCCATGCCAGAGCATGAAGTCTGGGTGCCAGGCAATTGCCCATCCCAGTCCATCACTGTCAGCACCTAAATACTTCTCCTGGGGTCTTGAGGTTGGGCCCACCCACCCTGCTGCTACTACCACAGCTGGTGCCTACCTGCCTGTACCACCTGCGGGCCTAGACACTGGCCTGCCCAGCCCATTGCAGCCACCACCAGCACCAGCATGCACTGCTTGGGACCCAGAGGGCCGTCCTGCCACTGTCATCACCCATGCCATGCTGGCTGACCAGGGGCCCAAGAACCACCCACTTACCTGGTCCACCACCACCACTACTGGCATCCAAATAAGCTACCTGGAAGCCCCAAATTGCCCACCAGGACCTGCTACCACCAGTGCCAGGATACGCCCCCTTGGGTCCCAAGGACAGGCATGGTCAGTCCCCCACTGCCACCACTGGGGCCTGAAGACTGGCCCCACCTGGGATTCCAGTCCCCAGCAAAGCCTCACCACAGCCTCCACTAATAACCACACCCTAAGCCACAAAGGAAATCACAGACACCACCGATGTTGTTTACAACTAAAGAGGAAATATGGAGACGACACTACTGCATGCACCCAGAATCAAAGCCAAAGGGCCCTATCCAATCAGCACCATAGATACATTTTCAGGAAAAATCCTCCCCTATGAAACCACACTCAACGAATGGGAAGAAGTGACTATTAGAGCAGATTTGCAGATATCAACATAAGGAAATGTGAAACAGAATAAAGGAAGGAAATATGACACCTCCAAAGGAACATCATAATTCTCCAGCAATAGACCCCAACAAAAAACAAACTTACAAAATCCTGGAAAAAGAATTTAAAATATAGATTTTTAAAGTGGCTCAGTGGGATACAAGAGAAAAATAAAAAACAATGCAAAGAAATCAGAAAAAACAATACAGCACGTGAATGAGAAATTTACCAAAGAGATAACATCATGAAAAAGAACCAAACAGAAATTATGGAGGTGAAGAACTTACTAAATGAAATACAAAACATATTTGAAAGCTTCAACAATTAACTAGATAGATCAGTAGAATCTCAGAACTTGAAGACAAATCTTTTGAAATAACCCAGTCAGACAAAAATAAAGAAAAAAGAATTTAAAAGAATGAGCAGAGCTTTTGTGACATACGGGACACATAAAGTGGCCAAATATTTATCAGTATCCCAGAGGCAAAGAGAGAACAAAAGGTTTAGAAAATCTATTTAATGAAATAATAAGTGAAAACTTCCCAAGCCTAGCAAGAGTTTAGACATCTAGATACAGGAGGCTCAGAGATCCCCAAACAGATACAATGCAAAAAGATCTTCTCCATGGCACATTATAGTCAAATTGTTCAAAGATAAAGTGAAAATTCTAAAAGAGCAAGAGAACAGAATCTAGTCATCTACAAAGGAACCCCCAGCAGACTAACAGTGGGTTTCTCAGTAGAAACCTTACAGGCCAGGAGAGAATAAGATTCTATATTCATATTCAAAATACTGAAAGAAAAAAAAAACCCTGCTATCTAAGGATAGTATACCCAGCAAAATTATCTTCAATAAGTAAAGGAGAAATAAAGTCTTTCCTATATAAACACTGGGGAAATTCATCACCACTAGAATGGCCCTACAAGAAATGCTCAAGGGAGTCCTACCTAGAAGTGAAAAGAGGACATTTACCATCATAAAAACACAGGAAAATATAAGACTTACCAGTAAAGCAAACACATAAATGAGGAAGAGAAAGAACTCAAATGGTATGACCAAACCACAACCCATAAAACCCACCAAACCACAACAACCCATAAGATAAAAAGAAAGGAAAAATGAATACAAACCAGAAAACAACTAACAACATGACAGGAACAAAACCTCACACATCAATAATAACCTTGAATATAAATGGATTAAATTCTCCACTTGAAAGGCATAGACTTGTTGAATGGATAAAAAGCATGATCCAACTATATGCTGCTTATAAGAAATGCACTTTACAGGTATTGCACATATGGACTGCACTTTAAACAAATAGACTGAAAGTAAAGGAATGTAAAAGATATTCCATGCAAACAAAAACCCAAAACAAGCAGAAATAGCTACACTTATGTCAGATAAAACAGAAGACTTTAAGTCAAAAGCAGTAAAAAAGGGCAAAGACGGTCATTATAAAATGATAAAAAAAATCAATCCAGCAAGATGATATAATAAGACTAAATATGTAGGCACTCAATACTGGAGCACCCAAATTTATAAAGCAAATATTACTAGATCTAAAGAGAGAGACTCCAATACAATAATAGTGGGGGACTTCAACACCTTACTCAGCATTATACAGACCCTCTAGACAGAGAGTCAACAAAGAAGTGTTGTATTTAAACTGGACTTGAGACCAAATGGGACTTAAGAGACATCTACAGAACATTTTATTCGACAACTGCAGAATACACATTCTCATCTCCACGTGGAACATTTTCCAGGACAGACCATATGTTAGGTCACAAAATAAGTCTCAGTGAATTATTTAAAAAATCAAAATCATATCAAGTATTTTCTCAGACCAAAAATGGAATAAAATTAAAACTCAATATCAAGAGGAAGTTTAAAAACTGTAAAGATACAGAGAAATTAAACAACATGCTCCTGAATGACCTCTGGGCCAATAAAGAAGATGGACATTTAAAAAATGTATTGAAACAAATGGAAATGGAAATACAACCTACCCAATTCTGTGGATACTGCAAAACCAGTGCTCAGGGAAGATCACAGCAATAAACTCTGACATGAGAAAAGTAGAAAGATTTCAAATATACAACCTAACAATGAACCACAAGCAATTAGAAAGGTGAAAACATTCCAAACCCCAAATTAGCAGAAGGAAAAATAATAAAGATCAGAGCAGAACTTTACGAAATAGAGATGAAGAAACGATATTAAGGATAAATGAAATGAAAAGTTGTTTCTTCAAAAAGATAAACAAAATTGATATACCACTAGCTAGACTAACCAAAAAAAGACAGAAGACCCAAGTAAACAAAATCAGAAATGAAAAAGGAGATGTTACAACTAATATATCACAGATATACAAAAGATCAGACTTTTGTGAACAACTATATTAACAAACTGAAAAATCTTGAAGAAATGAATAAATTCCTGGACATGTACAACCTATGAAGATTGAATCAGGAAGAAACAGAAAACTTTAACAGACCAATAATGAGTAGTGAGATTGAATCAGTATTAAAAGGTCTACCAAAAAAGAAAAGCTCAGGACCAGATGGATTCCCTGTCATATCTACCAAATGTGTAAAGAAGAACTAGTACCAATACTCCTCAAATGATTCCAAAACATTAAAAAGGAGGGAATTCTCCCTAACTTATTCTACAAGGCCAGCATTACCCTGGTAGCAAAACCAGACAAGGACACAATTAAAAAAAGAAAACTATAGGCCAATATCCCTGATGAACATAGATGTAAAAATCTTCCACAAAATACTATCAAACTGAATTCATCAGTACATCAAAAAGATTATACACTATGATCAAGTAGGATTTAACCCAGGGATGCAAGGATGGTTCAACATACACAAGTCAGTAAATGTGATACATCAAATCAAAAGAATGAAAGACAAAAAAAAAAAAAAACAACACACGATCATCTCAATAGATGCAGAAAAAGCATTTGATAAAATTCAATATTCCTTTATGAGAAAAACTGTCAACAAATTAGGCATAGAAGGGACATATCTCAAAATTAAAAGGCCATATATGACCAGCCCACAGCTAACATCATACTGAATGGGAAAAAATGAAAGCCTTTCCTCTAGTACTGTAACAAGACAAGGATGCCCACTTTCATCACTCCTATTCAACATAGTACTGGAATTCCTAGCCAGAGCAATCAGGCAAGAGAAAGAAATAAAAGATATCCAAATTGAGTGGCCAGGCGTGGTGGCCCATGCCTGTAATCCCAGCACTTTGGGAGGCTGAGGTGGGTGGATCACTTGAGGTCAGGAGTTTGAGACCAGCCTGGCCAACATGGTGAAACCCCGTCTCTATTAAAAATACAAAAATTAGCCAGGCGTGGTGGCATGTGCCTGTAATCCCAGCTACTCAGGGGTCTGAGGCAGGAAAACCACTTGAACCCAGGTGGCAGAGGTTGCAGTGAGCTGAGATCACTCCACTGCATTCCAACCTGGGAAACAGAGCAAGACTCTGTCTTGAAAAAAAAAATCCAAATTGGAAAGGAGGAAATCAAATTGCCCCTTTTTGCAGATGACATGACCTCGTATCTAGAAAAACCAAGAGACTCCACCAAAAAACTCTTAGAACTGATAAACAAATTAAGTTATAGCATACAAAAATCAACATAAAAATCAGTGGCATTTCTATACGCCAATAACAATATAGTCAAAAAAGAAATCCAGAAGACAATCCCATTATGATAGCTACAAAAAATAATAAAATACCTAGGAATAAATTTAATCAAGGAGGTAAAACATCTCTCCAAGGAAAACTACTAAATACTGATGAAAGAAATTGAAGAAGACATAAAAATTGGAAAGCCATTGCCTGCACATGAATTGAAAGAATATCATTAAAATAACCATGATTCCCTAATCTACAGATTCCATGTAATCCCTGTCAAAATACCAGTGTCATTTTTCACAGAAATAGAAAAAGCAATCCTAAAATTTACATGAAACCAAAAAAGACCCAGAATTGCCAAAGTAATCCTAGCAAAAGGAGCAAAGCTGGAGGCATCACATTACCTGACTTCAAAATACATTACAAGGATATAGTAATCAAAACAGGATGGTATTAGTATAAAAGTAAATATGTAGACCAATGGAACAGAATAGAGAGCCCAGAAATAAATGCACCTATTTACAACCAACTGATCTTTGACAATGTATCAAGAAGATACACTGGGCAAAGGATACCCTCTTCAATAAATGGTCCTGGGAAAACTGGATGACCATATGAAGAACAACACTGGACCTTTATCTCTCACCATATACAAAAATCAACTCAAGATAAATTAAAGACTTAAACATAAGATCTGAAACTATAAAACTACCAGAAGAAAACATAGGGGAAACACTTCAGGACATTGATCTAGGCACAGATTTTATGGTAAAGACCTTAAAAGCACAGGCAACAAAAACAAAAATAGGACTATATTAAATAAAAAGCTTCTGCATAGCAAAGGAAACAATCAAGAGTGAAGAGACAACCAGCTGAATAGGAGAAAATGTTAGCAAATTATTCATCCAACAGGGGACTAACATCCAGAATATATAAGGAAGGAATTCAAACAACTCAACAGTAAAAACACAAGTAATCCAATTAAAAAAAAAAAATGGTCAAAGGAGAATAGACACTTCTCAAAAGAAGACATAAAAATGGCCAACACATATATGAAAAAATGTTCCACATCACTTATCACCAGGGAAATGCAGATCAAACCCACAATGAGATATCATCTTACCTCACTTATAATGGCTATTACTAAAAAGAAAAAAAAAATAACAGATGTTGGTGAGTATATGGAGAAGGGGGAAATCTTACACACTGTTGGTGGGAATGTAAGTTAGTTTAGCAACTAGGAAGAACAGCATGAAGATGTTGGTGAGTATATGGAGAAAGGGGAACTCTTACACACTGTTGGTGGGAATGTAAGTTAGTTTAGGAACTATGGAGAATAGCATGGAGATTTCTAAAACACCTAAAAATAGAACTACCATACGATCCAGCAATCCCACTACTGGGAATTTATCCAAAGTGGAAAAAAATCAAAGGGATACATGGCACTCCCAGGTTTACTGCAGCACTAGTCACAGTAGCAAAGACATGGAACCAGTCTAAGTGTTCATTAACAGATGATTGGATAAAGGAAATGTGATATACACATACACACACACACACACACACACACACACCATGGAATACTATTTGTCCATAAAAAAGCATGAAATCATGTCATTTGCAGCAACATGATGAAACTGAAGTTCATTGTGTTAAGTAAAATAAGCCAGGCACAAAAAGACAAACATCACATGTTCTTATATGTGGAAATTTAAAAAGTTAATCATATGAAGGGGACAGTGCAAATGCACAATTAGAAAACGTAAGGTCTAATGTTTGATAGCAGGGTAGGGAGACTATAGTTGTTAACTATAGTTAACAATTATGCATTGTTTTTCAATAGCTAGAGGACTTCAGATGTACCCAACATATAGAAATAATAAGTACTCAAGTGACTAATACCCTAAGTATACCAACATGATCATTACACAGGCACATATACTCATAGTATCCCCACTTGATCATTACACAGGCGCATATACTCATAGTATCCCCACTTGATCATTACACAGGCGCATATACTCATAGTATCTCCACTTGATCATTACACGTGTGCATATACTCATAGTATCCCCACTTGATCATTACACAGGCGCATATACTCATAGTATCTCCACTTGATCATTACACGTGTGCATATACTCATAGTATCCCCACTTGATCATTACACAGGCGCATATACTCATAGTATCCCCACTTGATCATTACACAGGCGCATATACTCATAGTATCCCCACTTGATCATTACACGT
Source organism: Homo sapiens (assembly GCF_000001405.40). Taxonomy (NCBI): domain Eukaryota; kingdom Metazoa; phylum Chordata; class Mammalia; order Primates; family Hominidae; genus Homo; species Homo sapiens. Next base: position 766,426 of record NC_000010.11, read on the forward strand.
GTGCATATACTCATAGTATCCCCACTTGATCATTACACAGGCGCATATACTCATAGTATCCCCACTTGATCATTACACAGGCGCATATACTCATAGTATCCCCACTTGATCATTACATGTGTGCATATACTCATAGTATCCCCACTTGATCATTACACAGGCACATATACTCATAGTATCCCCACTTGATCATTACACAGGCGCATATACTCATAGTATCCCCACTTGATCATTACATGTGTGCATATACTCATAGTATCCCCACTTGATCATTACACAGGTGCATATACTCATAGTATCTCCACTTGATCATTACACATGTGCATATACTCATAGTATCCCCACTTGATCATTACACGTGTGCATATACTCATAGTATCCCCACTTGATCATTACATGTGCGCATATACTCATAGTATCCCCACTTGATCATTACACGTGCACATATATTCATAGTATCCCGACTTAATCATTACACAGGCACATATACTCATAGGGACCCCTCCAGAAAGTTCTATGAGTGTAACAAAATTTTACATGTACCCCATAAATAGGTACAAATAGAATATATCAAAAAGAATTTTAAAAATTAAAAAGCCAGTGTATGTATATATACACATTCACACTCATACACATATACTCACAGGGACTCTACCAGAAAGATATACACCAAAAGGTTATTTTTTGTGTGTGTGTTGTATGTGATTTTTATTTTCCTTTTTTATGTCTATATGTGATTTCTACATGTTCTAAAATGAACACATATTTTCATAATTAAGAAAAAGATCATCATTAAACATAAAACCAAGGCTTCTACTTCTAGCTAAAACAGCTAGAAAATTAGATAACATGTATTTAACAATCTATCTGCAAAATAACCCCAGTACATAACACTGTTTACAGGCACTGAACAGCAGACGGTGCAGGACTGTGATCCCTAGGAAGTGGGGAACAGTGGAGATGTCAGTCCTCCAAGCAGCCTAGATTGGCTCCTGAAGTCAGACTGTGATCTTGGCAAAGGAAAGGAAAACAAGGCCAGGTGGCCTTGTTCATTGAGTAACCTGGCCTTGCTCATTGAATAAAGGAGGCAGAGTACTGGAGAGGAGAAAATCACTCAGGCAAAGAGCTCAGAAAGATCCATAAGGGTTCT